>NW_025791811.1:0-273725 GCF_000001405.40 Homo sapiens
AAGTGACAATTGAAGCCGTAGAAATAGGTAAACTCTCTGAGGCAAGAATATAGAAAAGAACCTTCTGCAATTGTACTTAGGGTTGGGAGAAAGAGGAAGAGCCAATAAAGATGCCAGGAATAGTAAGATGGAAAGTGTCTTAGTAAGGTATCTTTTGATTGTTGAAAGCAAAAATGTGCTGAAGCCAGTTTAAACACAGAGACATTTGTTACAGAGAGGCTCTTATGTAACTCAGGGATCCAGAAATAGAGCCAGGCCTCACAAGAGATGGGAACTTTGAAACACCATAACAATGTTCCTCCTGTTCGCATGCACTCTGGTACTACATGAATGCTGTCTGGTTGCCTTCATTCTTTTTACTCCCTGTAGTCTATCCATAGTAGTGTTCATCAGTGTGTGTGGCCCCATATGAATATGCTACACCCAAGGGTAGCTGAAGCTAGCTTAGGCCAGCCTGTGAGAGCCAATTGTTAGCATCTCTTCCCAACCTCTGTTCTGTGACATCATATTGATAGCTTGACATCAGCCCTGGTGGGAATATTTATACCATGGAAGTTGGCAAATGCTACAAAGCAGTCCCCAACCAAGAGCCAGCACACCACTGCCTATACCCTGAAGTCTAAATGTTCTTCCAACTCCAGGGACCTCTGCTATTATCTCGAAGTCTCTTAGTTCAAATTTTCAAGTGAGAGACAGGGATAGATAATCCTGTCCATCTAATTCTTCACCCCTCACAGGAGTGTGCTGGAGCTGGCTCATGAGAGCTATTGAGCACTCTTCCCAGCTCCATATTTAGCAACATCATGTTGGTAGCATGAAATCTTTCCAAGTTTCAGACAGGGAAGTGGGTGTGGGTAAAGTAAAAAAGGATTGGCTTCTCTAATAGAGAAGGGCAGCCAGAGTAGAAGCTTCTGAAGAAGCTTCTAGTAGGCTGTTGACAATGCTGTGCTTCAAAGAGGTCAGGTGAAGCAGGACTGAGAGCAGTGAGCACAGACTGCAGATAGTGTTAGCAGAGCAGTGAAAGCAAAGAGATACCCAGAATGGGGAGAAAGAATCTAGGAAGAAGTAGAGTTGTGGATTATAAACCAAACAACCAGAAGGTACCTAGAGGGAGGAGATTTTTTGTAATTGGAAAGCTTGTGCCTGTTGTAAGGTGGAGGAAGGAGACACAGAAGACACAGACTAAAGATTGATAGAGATGGAGATGGAGAGAGCAGGATCCCGGAGAAAAGAGGGCTGAGGGGGAAAGAAAGTGTTTTTCTGGTGCAGAAATAGCACAGTCTCCTTTCCTTTTGGAAGGGAGAGAGGGTAGGCGAAACAGGGAAAATGGAACCCTAAGCCTCTACCTGTAAGTCTTTCTTTACTCTGTAAACTCTTTGGATGAACAACTAAAAGGCGGGAAACTCATAGCAGGTCCTTTGTGACACAGGAGTGGGGAAATAGCTCTTAGCATGTTATGCCATGGAAAAGTTAACACGGAAGCCCTCACCCAGTGTAGTAAATTCGGAATGTTGAATACGCATACTCATGTTCTCTATTTTATTACATATAGTTAAATATAGCAAAGGATATGTGTTATTAAAAGTATTTGTGTACCATACTGGTTTTATGCAGAAATATACCTTTACAAAGCTGAAAATTAAAATGTAATTAACACTTTTACCTTTAGAAATGTCAGCAATTGTTTGTGACTGGATTTGTTTGTTTCAGCTTCAGTTATTCCATTGCAGGAAACTATTGGAAAGTTTTTCCAAGCTGACATTGCAGAAAATGCTTTGGTAGGTAGCTTTTTAATACTGTTGGTTTCTAATCTCGTGATGTGTTTTCTCATATTTTATTTCTTTATTTTTATTTCCTTCAAACTAGCTTTCTTTTCTGACACATGAAAAGGAACTCATACAGGAAATATCAAGAACAAAGGAAAAATCACCCCTATCACCCCTAGTCCTACCATTCAGAGGCAACCATTGGTGGCACTTGGTCTCCACATTTGCAGACATATAACTGTCCCCGCCCCCCCAACACACAACTGTGTATGAACATTACTATGCTAATATTCCATGTTATTTACGGCACATCATTTTTTTTGTCAGTGAATTTATACTTATGTGTGTCATATATCATCTTTTTAAATGGCTACATGGTATTCTAATATATGAATACTCCATAGTTTATTTAGCTAAACTTTCTATTGAAGGGCAGTTACGTTTCTAGTTTCTCAATAACCAACACTGCAGTGAAAATCCTTATGTGAAGCCACATTGTATGTTTGATTTATTTTTTTCCGTGGGTATAAATTCCTGGTAGCGGAATTTATGGATTCATTTTGATGTTCATTTAAAAATTTTTTGACATACATCTTCAGACTGCCCTTAGAAAGACTGAACAATGACAAAGGTACTTTTTACTACTTTGCTTTGGCAACACTGGGCCAGCCTTTTCGTCTGGGTCAGTCTGACAGCTGCTGATATCTTTTGACTATTGGTATTTCTTGTGAATTTTGTAAATAATTTTGTGATATGCCTGCACCTTGTCCTCTTTAGCTATCTTGTGTTTTTATTCTAGGTGATTTGTAAGAGCTTGGTTTTTAGGGATATTAATCCTTCATTGTATATGTTGTAAATATTTTCCTCAGTTGTTTACATTGTTTATTGATTTCTATTAATAGAAGTTTTTAATTAGTTTATCATCAAATATATCAGTCTTTTCCTTTACAGTTTCTGGCTTTTGAATTATGTTTACCTAGGCTTTTTCATCTAAGGGTAAAATGTCCAGTCCACCCATATTTTCATCTAGTACTTCGGTTGTTTCACTAAAACTTTCAGCCTTCTTTTTTCTTTTTTTTTTTCTGAGACAGTCTTGCACTGTTGTCCAGGCTGGAGTGCAGTGGTGCGATCTCAGCTCACTGCAACCTCCGCCTCCCGGGTTCAAGCGATACTCCTGCCTCAGCCTCCCGAGTAGCTGAGATTACAGGTGCGTGCCACCACGTCCAGCTAATTTTTGTATTTTTAGTAGAGACGTGGTTTCACCATGTTGGCCAGGCTGGTCTCGAACTCCTGACTTTCAGTGACTGCCCACCTTGGCATCCCAAAGTGCAGGGATTATAGGCGTGAGCCACCACGCCCAGCCAAACTAGCTTTCTGAGATTTGTTTTGGTGTGAGGTTGGTATCCTGTTTATGTTGTTTCAACTAGTTAGCCATTTTTTCTGGCTGATGTTAAGTCATTTAAGAAATGCTTTTTGGGTGCCTTCTCTGTGCCACCTTTGGGAAGGGGGGTAGAAACTGCCAAGTAAATATAACATTGACTTCAATTTAACAAACAGTGATTGTGTTAGTAATTGAGATTCTACATAAATGTGATTTTGATCTTTCGTTTTCTTAACATTAGAAAAATTCCTCAGAAACAGAAATACCTACTGTCAGCGTTTTAGCTGATGAAGAATTCCTTCCCTTCAAAGAAAATACATTTGACCTGGTGGTTAGCAGTTTAAGGTTGGTAATCCACTTTTTAAAAACCATATGTTATAAACAGATCATTCTTGCCATAAAGTTTTGCTATGAGGCCAGGAGCGGTGGCTCACGCCTGTAATGCTAGCACTTTGGGAGGCCGAGGCGAGTGAATCTCTTGAGGTCAGGAGTTTGAAACCAGCCTTGCCAACATGTTGAAACCCTGTCTTTACTAAAAATACAAAAAAGGTAGCTGGGCGTGGTGGCATGCATGAACTTCCTAAAGTTCATCTGTGATAGAAGGTTTTTCTCCCCAGTGCATCTTAATATTTTGGAATTGCTCTTGTTGGGAGCAGGAGTTTGAAAGAGCATATTGGCTCCTGTATTCAAATGTTAGAGCAATTCCAAAATAATAAGTTACATTGGGGAGAAAACCCTTCTATCACAGATGAGTTTAGCAAGTTGGGGGAAAAAAAAGTTGAGGCACTATATCATATTATCTCCACCAGAGAGCATAGAATATATTCTTTCAAACTCCTGCTCCCAACAATCATAACTCATTCTGGACAAATTCTGGACAAACTCATTCTGGACAAACTCAAACTAGGACAGCTAGTTTTCCTTTAGCCTTAATTCTTCTGGCCAGGTACAGTGGCTCTCACCAGCAATCCCAACACTTTGGGAGGCTGCAGTAACAGGACTGCTTGAACCCAGGAGTTCGAGACCAGCCTGGGCAACATAATGAAATGCCATCTCTACAAAAAATTAAAAAATTAGCTGGGCAAGGTGGCGCATGCCTGTAGTCCCAGCTACTTGGGAGGCTGAGGCAGGAGGATCACTTGAGCCTGGTAAGTTGAGGCTGCAGTGAGCCATGATCATGCCACTGCACTCTAGCGTGGGTGACAAAGCAAGACCCTGTCTCAAAATAATAATAATTCTGTACCAGAATGTAGTTCTCAAGATTACTCTTTTCCCTTTATGTTTTCTACTATCTTCCTCCACATATGTTACACAAACATGTAATGCAAGTATATATCAAATAGGTTATAGGATACAAGGCACTGAGCCAGATTTTTGGGTGAATACAAAAATGAATTAGGGATCCTGTCCTCAAATAACTCAGTCTAACAGAAAAAATATCTTTGTGGTATCTTCTTTCTCCTGTCTTATAGTCAAATAGATTTTCTTTCAGAAGTTCAGCAGGCTCTCCACGTCCAGTTCAACTCTTTCGATAGCTGTTTTTAGGGTGACCAGTCATCAAGGTGTGCCCAGGACTTTGCCACTTTTGGCCTGAAAGTCTTATGTTCTGGGAAAGCTGGTCACCCTTGATGTTTTCTTTCGTGAGTGTGTAATTCCTTCCCTGGTTTTTTAGATGTGCTGAACAAAGTTAGAAAACTACTCACATTCTGTCATGAAATGAAAAATATGCAGAGCCTTGGTCTATAAAGAACCCTGGGCAGGGAGTCAGAACCTGAGTTTTTATGTTAGCTCATCTGCTTGCTATTTGCAGGTGACTAATTCTGTTGCTTTCTGTTTTCCCATAAGTATGATAGAGTTTATAGTATGAGCTCCTTAGTTTTTAAAGTATCTAATACTTGTCGAAAAGCATTAGGAAAGATAAACATGAGCTTAACACAGTATGGTTTGAAATGGACATTCAGTTCTGTCCTGGAACTCAGCATAAGGGGAGGCAGTTATACCAGAAAAGTGTGACCGTACTCTAAGGAGACTGGGAATATGACTTTCGCTGTCACGCATGACTACACTCTAGGTGAGAGTAGGGTCAAAAGAAAATTCAAGGCCCGGGCACGGTGGCTCACGCCTATAATCCCAGCCCTTTGGGAGGCCGAGGCAGGCAGATCACTTGAGGCCAGGAGTTCAAGACCAACCTGGGCTACGTGGTGAAACCCTGTCTTTACTAAAAATACAAAAATTAGCTGCATGTCATGGCGCATGCCTGTAATTCCAGCTGCTCGAGAGGCTGAGGCATGAGAATTACTTGAACCTGGGAGGCAGAGGTTGCAGTGAGCCAAGATCGCGCCACTGCACTCCAGCCTGGGCAACAGCAAGACTCTGTCTCAAAAAAGGAAAAAATTTAAGAGATTAAGTTTCAGTGTATACAGCTCTGGTTTTTGTTTGTTTTTATCACCTTAAAAAATGGATGTACCACACACCTACTAGAATGGCCAAAATCCAGGACACTGACAACACTAAATGCGACAAGGATGTGGAGTTCATTATTGGTGGGAATGCGAAATGGTACAGGCACTTTGCAAGATAGGTTGGTTGTTTCCTACAAAACTAAACATACTCTTAGCGTACGATCCAGCGATTGCATGCTCCTTGGTGTTTACCCAAAGGAGATGAAAACTTACGTCCACGCAAAAACCTGCACACAAATGTTTATAGTAGCCTTATTCATAATTGCCAAAATTTGGAAGCAGCCAAGATGTCCTTCAGTAGGTGAATGGATAAACTTTGTTGTATCCAAACAACAGAATATTATTCAGCACTAAAAAGAAACTGTCAAGCCATTAAAATATTTGGAGGAAACTTAAATGCGTATTACTGAATGACAGAAGCTAATCTGAAAAGGCTACATAGTGTGTAATTCCAACTGTGACAATCTGGAAAAAGCAAACTCTGGAGACAGTGAAAAAGATTGGTGATTGCCAGGGGTTGTGTAGGGGAAGGATGAATAGGTGGAGCACAGAGGATTTTTAGGGCAGTAAAGCTACTCTATGATACTATTATAATATTGGATATATGACATTACACGTTTATCCAAACCCTTAGAATATACAACACCAAAAGTGAACCTTAATGTAAACTATGGACTTGGGGGATAATCACTTATCAGTATAGCTTCATCAGTTGTAACAAATATACACTCTGGAGATATTGATAATGGGGGAGGCTGTGCATGTGTGGGAATAGGAGTATGTAAAAAAATCTCTGGGTTTTCCTCTTAATTTTGCTGTAAACCTAAAACTGCTCCAAAAATAATTAAAAATAAAGTCTTAAAAATTGATTTTTTAAAAAATGGGATATTATTGGAAAACTCACAGATTCAAACTTTTGATGAGTTACACTGTTTGCCTTGAAAAAATTTAGATCTGCAGATAATTTTTTTCTAAGAAAGTCTGACTTAGAATAATACTATATTTCTGTAGCTTAATTGATTTAACTGATGAGCTTCTTTGAGCATTTTTACTACTTTTTGCAAATAAGGTCTCAGAATAGCACCGTTTAGATAAAATGCCTAAGTAGGAATGACTTTTACATAATTCAGTGATGAATAATTAGAAAATAATCATATCAGATTCTTTCAGTTACGCAAAGTGATATATTGACATGGGGAATTTTCTGGTGTGACACAAGGCAGGTTTTCCTCTAGGAATATTTATAATTTTAAAACCTGTATGAAAACGATCAGTGGATTTGGATATGCAGTTTTAAACTTCAAAATTAACACCTTTTTATGGGTTATCATTAACCTGGTGATAATTTTACTAATTAATTGTGCCAGTTAAGCTAAAACAAATCTGTATTCTCATATTTTAGTTTGCATTGGGTGAATGACCTTCCTAGAGCACTTGAGCAGGTAAGAAAACTTATGTTCATTCAACTATCTTGTGTTATTTTCTTTATTGTTAGAAATCTACAGATGTTTCTATTTTCACATACTATTTACTTGTAGGTCTGACAGTTGGGAAAGAAATCGGTGAAATCATCTGGTGCCATTTGGCATATTAGTAGTACATTGGGCAACTCTCCTTTCCCTGAGAATTTAAGAAATCTAATTGTAGAGATAAGTTTTAAATATTTATGAAAAGCTTAGGAACTGTGCAAAATAATATTGAAATCATAAGACATTCTCTATGTAGATTTCTTCTTACCCTTAGTTGCCCATAAACTTTTTGCAAGTAGGAACCTACTTATTTATATTTGTATTTTCTCCATGCCTTATACTCAGAGAGTGCTAGGTAAGTTTTTATCGATTGACACGTATCAATAGACAGGTGAGAGGCAGGTAAAAAGTATGTGTTCAAAGGAGAGAACAAGATCCCTGTGGCTTGACATGGCCTAGAAAAGCTTCAAGAGGAAAGTACTTGAGCAGGGCCTTAGAGGGTAGGTAAAGTTTGGATTGGGAAGGCATTCTAAGAAGGCAGAATCACAGGATAGGTGGAGAGGCACAAGAGCTTCATCAGCATTAAGGAACAAAAAGGAAACCTGTTTGGAGGACTAGTATAGTGCTGGGAAGTGAGGTGTGATGTATTGGGACAGTATTTAGGAGGATTTGAGTGTCAGGTTGAGGAATTTGGAGTTTATGCAATTCAGAGCCACTGGAGCATTTTGAAGAGGAAAATGACATCATTATAAAGCTGGTGGGCAAAATAATAATGGCCATATCTGAACACGTATGATTTTCCAGTTTCCCGTTACTGTGCTCTGTTTTATATTTGTGTTAAATAGCTCTGCGAGATGTATTTATTTTGCTGATTAGAAACTGATGCCTCGGCTGGGCGTGGTGGCTCATGCCTGTAATCCCAGTACTTTGGGAGGCTGAGGTGGTTGCATCACCTGAGGTTAGGAGTTCGAGACCAGCCTGGCCAACATGGTGAAACCCCGCCTCTACTAAAAATACAAAAATTAGCCAGGTGTGGTGGCAGGTGCTTGTAATCCCAGCTACTTGGGATGCTGAGGCAGGAGATTCTCTTGAACACGGGAGGCAGAGGTTGCAGTGAGCTGAGATCACGCCATTGCACTCCAGCCTAGACGACAGAGTGAGACTCTGTCTCAAAAAAAAAAAAAAGAAAGAAACTGATGCCTGGAGCAGTTCGTTAAATTGAAGGGAGACTGTTTCAGTGGTCCAAGAATGAGATAAACTAAACCTAGGTGGTAATGGTAGGAGTTAAAAGGAAGAGTATTTAGGACTCTACAAGGAAAGAATCAACAGTTTGGTGACTGATTAGATCTGAAGATCAAAGGGAGGAGGCAAAACTCACTTTGAAGTTTTTGAGTCTGGATTAGTAAAAGTAGGGGAAAGAATGTTAATGATCAGATAAAGGGAATAGAAAATGGCAATAGAAATATGGCAGTTGGAAAGGGGAATTGATTTGATAAATAGATGTTTTCCTTGTAGGGGTTGGAGGGAGCAGGGACGGTGAGTATGCTGAGAGACAAATGTCCAGGGAATAGGCAGTTGAAGATGACTTTGGACTTCTGAGAAGATGGCCAAGCTGAAGTTAGGGATTGGAAAGTGGTCATTGTGAAATCATGGAAGTTGATAAGCTGTCTGAGGGAGAGCGGGGAGCTGCAGAATTCTGAGAACTAAGTCTTAGGTATTTGGTTTAGTAGAGTTTGATGACAGGAGGAGGAAGCAACACTAAAGGTGAAGAAGGGAAGGAACCAAAGCTTTTACAAATTATTTACTTAATACTGCTTTTAATTGCTTCATGACATATTAAATATAAATTTAAGACAGTACTTTTATTAGAAGAGCCTACTGTGATTTGGATTCTGGTTTACTTCAGAATCTACCTTTTCCTGTAATGGTCCTCATTGCTGAGAATAGTCAATCAAACTAGTTACAGCTTGTAGTCTGAGAGTGAGCAAAATCTGTGATTCTGGAATTCTCTCTGGCCATTATTTTCCTTAAGTTACTAATTAGAAATTGGTTTTGTTTTAAAGCTGGAAAATAAATTGATTACTTCTCTTTAACGAAAGGTAATATGTTACTAGGTTAATGCTGTGAATCATAATGATTTCTCTGTAGCTTTTTCTGCATAATAAGGCACCCCAACTTGATGGCTTAAAACAACAACTATGTAGCCCATGATTTTGTGGGTTGGCAGTTGGGGCTGGATTTGGTTAGGAAATCTGGGTCTGGCTTGGCTCATCTGTGTGTCTGTGATCAGCTGCCAGATCGTCTGGGAGCTAGCTGGTTTGGAGGGCCTCGGTGCACACAGCTGGCTGATCTCTGCCCTACATCTCTCCTCCTCCTCTAGGCTAGCTCAGGCTTGTTCACACATCGTGGCTGGGCTGGGCTCCAAGAGAGCAGGTGGAAGCATGCAACACATTTGAGACCTAGACGTGGAACTGGCACACTGTCACTTCCACTGCATTCTTTTGGCCAAAGCGAGTCACAAGGCCAGCCAAGATTCAAGGGGAGGGGAAATAGACTCCCTATCTTGATGAAAGTTGTTAGAAAACGACGTTTCAGAGGCCATAGATGCAGGGAGGTTTGTGATTTTTGCAGCCTACCCCAATTAAATTTTTTTTTCTCTTTCAGCATTTTTCTGATTATAAAACTAAGTTGTATACCTATTAGAAAACTTGAAAACATACAACATATTTTTATAGGCATTAATATTAGTGAATGTATAGTTGTCTTTCCAAGTATATTATGCATCATGATTTTCTGACAGTTGGTTGCATTAGATGTTATTTGTTAAATTATGTGATTATTAATTTGGCAGAATAAAAGTGGTTGTCATAAAATGTTAATTTAGACACTATATATTTATTTTTTAACATTTATATATATAAAAATTTGAATCATTTTGTTTTCTTGTATTTATTACAGATTCATTATATTTTAAAACCAGATGGAGTGTTTATCGGTGCAATGTTTGGAGGCGACACACTCTATGAACTTCGGTGTTCCTTACAGTTAGCGGAAACGGAAAGGGAAGGAGGATTTTCTCCACACATTTCTCCTTTCACTGCTGTCAATGACCTGGGACATCTGCTTGGGAGAGCTGGCTTTAATACTCTGACTGTGGTAACTATCAAGTTCGATTAACCCATAACTTACACAGTTCAAAAAAGAACTTCTTATCATTTTAAAGATAGAAAACTGTATGTGTTCATGGTTTCATGGCACTCTTTCTCTCCCTTTTTTTTTCTCTTTTTAAGGGAAAAGCTCTGATTGACAATGTTTAGTTTGTATAACACATCTTAATTGACACAAGGTAGGAATGTATAATTTTTTACTGTTACCTTAAAAAGTAGCTCAAAAAATGTATCATAGTTAACAAGACAAATTTCTAAACATACAACTCCATTAGAATCTTCAAATCTAGTATTAGGTGTAAAAAGGGCCTTAGAGTATTCCAGATGATAGGAAGAAAAGGGGATAAGTAGGGGAACCTGTAATATTACCACCAATAACTACCCCCAAACAGTGCCATATGAAGCAGAAATGAGAGAATGTGTGTTCTCAAGGCCTAGGGTGAGATCAAGGCTAAAGAAGGTAGGACAGGGTGCTGTACTCCATTAGGGCTAGAGAAATCTCGAAAGAAGACCCATGGGCAATCAGTGAGTAATAAGCATGAAGTCAGCATGGTACGGTGACGGGGTAGGACAGTAGGACTTTGTTCTCCGACAGGAGTAACTTGGATCCTTACCCTATTTCTTTACTAGATAGGGAAATTTGAGTAACTTACCTTTTTGAGCATTTATTTCTTTTAAAAATGCAAATGTGTGGCTGGGTGCGGTGGCTCACGCCTGTAATCCCAGCACTTTGGGAGGCCGAGGCAAGTGGATCATCTGAGATCAGGAGTTTGAAACCAACTTGGCCAACGTAGTGAAACCCCGTCTCTACTAAAAATACAAAAAATCAGCGAATTGTGGTGATGCATGCCTGTAATCCCAGCTACTCTGGAGGCTGAGGCAGGAGAATTGCTTGAACCCGGGAGGCGGAGGTTGCAGTGAGCTGAGATCACGCCATTGCACTCCAGCCTGGGCAACAAGAGTGAAATTCCCGTCTCAAAAAAAAAAAAAAAAAAAGCAAATGTTACTCACCTCACCCTTTAAAGAGATAAAGGGTGTGAAGTACCAGGACCATGGTAGATGCTCAGCTTACATTAGCTCCTGCCTTCCTCTTTCCCCATCACTCTACTCCCAGCATTTTTCTAGAACTAGGCTTCCAAGAGACAGCCATCTGGAGAGAATGATTGCCCTCTTCTTCCTCCCTCCACTAACAGTCTTTCTAAAGGATGTCATTACTCTCTTCAGAGATCAGTCCAGTAGACTTAATATGAATTTCCAAACCCCTCAGGCCTAGAAACATCCCTAAACCTGATTAGTGGAAATAGGAATTTCTTGATGAAGAAAGCATCTTGCTACATAATTAGAGATGATAAGCTTAAACGCTAAAATAGCTGTTTGGCATGATTTTGTGTGAATATATTCATGAAATCAACCAACCAAAAATAGATTGTGTCATATCCTTCCTTGTTTTTATAGAAGCAAGGGGCATGGGCAAGCAGGGCCCCTGATGTTGGAAAGGAGCCTCCAGGGAGGGAAGAATTAACAGGCTGGAGGACTAGGCTGGGAACTGAAGAGAACCCCGGAGGCTTCACACCTGTGACTAGTGTTGATCTTTTGTTAACTTTTAAATGGCCTGAGTCCATAGAAACTGCATCCTGAGAGGTTGCTCGGCTAGAAAGCGGAAAACCGCTTCACATGAGTGCTCTACTTTGTAATGAAAATAAACACTATTAATACAGGCAATTGTACACTGAAGGATCATTGTATTTATATTTGTAATTGTATAAGTAACACAAATATATTTTGGTTGTAACTATTAAGCTATACAGATAAAGCGAAAGTCTGTCATTCCCCCTTAATCCTAAAAATGCTTAGCTCTCTCTTGAGAGTAAGAGTTCTCAAAATTTTGGTCTCAGGACCCCACTACACACTGAAAAGTAATGAAGAAACTTTTAAAGGGCTTTTTGTATAGTGAATTAACATCTGTCAGTATTCACTATATTAGACATTAAAACTGAATTTGTTTTCGTATTCATTTAAAGCTAACAATAATATACCTATTACTTGTTAACATAAATGACCCTTTTTAATAAAAAATAACTATATTTTCTTTTAATTTTTTTTTTGGGGGGGGGACAGTTTCACTCTGCCACCCAGGCTGAAGTGCAATGGCACGGTCTTGGCCCACCACAATCTCTCCCTCCCAGGTTCAAGTGATTCCCCTGCCTCAGCCTCCCGAGCAGCTGGGATTACAGGCACGTGCCACCACGCCCCATTAATTTTTGTATTTTTAGTAGAGATGGGGTTTCACCATGTTGGCCAGTCTGGTCTCGAACTCTTGACCTCAAGTGATCCGCCCACCTCAGCCTCCCAAAGTGCTGGGATTACAGGCATGAGCCGCTGCGTCTGGCCATATTTTCTAAAACAAAAATAATTGAAAGGGAAGAATGACATTGCTTCACATTTTTGCCAGTTAATGTGCACCTTAGTAACAGAGCTAGATTCTCATGTCTGTTTCTGCATTCAAGTTTCTTGTTACACCATGTGTCATGTCATGTCTCCTCTAAAATAACCCATCGTAGAATAAGAGGTAAAAAGCCAAATAGTATCTTGGTATTATTATGAAAATAATTTTGACTTTGTGGACCCCCAAAAAAGTCCTAGGGACCCCAGGACTCTCCAAACCACACTTGGAGAACTACTGTCCTAGAGGTAGCTACTATTATCACTTTAGTGTGTAACCTTCCAGACTTTTTTTTTTTTAACAAGGACTACTTTATATAGACAGTCATATGTATTCACACATTTCTGAAACTTTTTTTATTAACAGTATATGTATTTCCAATATACTGTTAATAGTTTTCTAAATTGGTATGGATATATTTGCACTCCTTAATTTCCGCATATTATTTCCTAGTATGAATGTACCACAGTTTTACTTAACTATTTACCTGTGAATGACCTTTAGGTTTGTTCTGATTTTTTGCCAATAGTAGCAATGCTGCAGTGAATATCCTTCTATACAAATTCATTTATGTATTCAGTCTTGCAACAAACATTTACTGAGTACCTTCTGTGTGTCTGGTACTATCCTAGGTACTTCAAATATAGCAGTGAACAAAACAGAAATCCCTGCGTGGTGTTTTTGGGTTTATAGCAGGCCTGTTGGTAAACTTTAGACCGTTCAATAATACTGGGATGTTGTACACAAAATTTGTGGTGGTGGTGTTCATAAATGGAGGAAAGTACCCATGGTTTTCATCAGATCTTGAGAGAGCTAATATAACTAAAAATAGATTAGGAACCAGTGATTTAAAGCCTTTTTGATAATATTTATTTTACTTATAATATGGAAAAAATTTCCTTTACAGTCTACCCTCTTGAGAATCGTCTCCTATATTGCTGTGTCACCAACCTATCATTGAGATGAAAAAAGAATCTCCGGGAATGTAAAGCCTCTAAAAAGTATAGGAGGTGTAGGGCTGGGATGGTGTGGCGATGTGTAGTGCACATTTTCATGAGGTGATGTTAAAAAATTTATACGAGGTCATACAGGTTAGTCAGCAATATTACAGGACTCAAAAGTTATTGCCCATTACGAAAAAAATGGGATTTCTGCTAATCACCAGAAGAAAGTTAAATTATGTGAACTACACATGGTTTTCTGTGGTTATAAAGAATGAGTTTTAGAAAGATTTCTACTAAAAATGTTTAACCTGATGTTAAAATGTTTAAAAGCCTACATTTCTATTAATTGGGAAATATAATTCAGAATACTATCCATATTCTCTAAAAATGAGCCTAATGACTCATACTTTAATATAATATAAAAATATTGGTGTAGAATCTTCTTTAGTTTATACAATTAGAAAGTTGCTGATTTAATAAGAAAGTTATGAGAATGTCTTCTTGAATCATTACATTTATCCTGTGAGGCATGTATACAGTTTTGTTTCTGAGGTGCTGTATTAATATTGCGTCCTGGCCAGGCACAGTTGTTCACTCCCATAATCTCAGCACTTTGGGAGGCCTAGGTCAGAGAATCACTTCAGCCTGGGATTTCAAGACCAGCCTGGGCAACATAGGGAGTCCTCATCTCTAAAAAAAAATTTTTTTAAATAGCTGGGCCTGCCTGTAGTCCCAGCTACTCGGGAGGCTGAGTTGGAAGGATTGAGCCTGGGACGTTGAGGCTGCAGTGAGCCATGATCTCACCACTGCACTCCAGCCTGTGTGACAGAGCAAGATCCTGTCTCCAAAAAAAATAATAATAATATGTGTTCTAATTCATTTTCTAAAAATTCCCATCCAAAAAAGCTTTTGTATAATCAGCTATACAGGTTTATGTTGCATACATTAGATATATTACTTTTACGCTACAATGGATTTTTATTTTTAAAGTGAAATCGAGTCAGATTAGTATCATATAGATGTATTTACATCTTAATGTATTTTCATCTTAATGAATTATTTTCAGAGAATGAGCATTCTAAGTAAAGCTGATTTCCGTTTTAGAACTGAACTACCAGACTAGTACTTTAAGAGAATGGTGCAAGGCCTGGCACGGTGGCTCACGCCTCTAATCCTAACACTTTGGGAGGCCAAGGCAGGCAGATCACAAGGTCAGGAGATCAAGACCATCTTGACTAACACAGTGAAACCCCGTCTCTGCTGAAAATACAAAAAAATTAGCTGGGCGTGGTGGCACATGGCCTGTAGTCCCAGCTACTTGGGAGGCTGAGGCAGTAGAATAGCTTGAACCTGGGAGGCGGAGGTTGCAGTGAGCCGAGATCGCACCACTGCACTCCAGCCTGGGCGCTGGGTGGCAAAGTGAGACTCCGTCTCAAAAATAAAATAAAAAAAATGGTGCAGATATGGTCCCCTTTTAATTTAAATAAGGCCTTCAACAAAGCTGTTGTGGCATTCTTTTGATTGAAGTGGAGATAGTGCTTTTAGTTGGTTGCACTGAAGAATTGTTTTCAAAGGATATTGCTTAATGGCTAGATAACAGCCTGGAAAGAATTTTGTTTTTAATCTTAGGATCTCCTCTTAAAAACAGCTTGTTAATATGGAAAAGTATATGGATGATGAATGTTCATGGTCTCACTACCTAGAGGTCTCATTAAAAAGCATACACAACCTGATACACGTATATGTTTTTTTAAAGAAGAGTAAGGTATATATAGAGAGAGTGATACAGTGGGGTGTAAAGTGAAACGAAGTCTCCTCTTCCTGACTTCTCCCTCTGTTGCCCAGGCTAGAGTGCAGTGGCGAGATCTCCGCTTACTGCAACCTCTGCCTCCCAGGTTCAAGGGATTCTCATGCCTCTGCCTCCCAAATAGCTGGGACCAAGGGCATGTGCCATCACACCCAGCAATTTTTTTTTTTTTTTTTGAGATGGAGTCTTGCTCTTTCACCCAGGTTGGAGTGCCGTGGCGTGATCTCGGCTCACTGCAACCTCTGCCTCCCGGGTTCAAGCGATTATGCTGCCTCAGGCTCCCAAGTAGCTGGGACTACAGGCACCAACCACCATGCCTGGCTAATTTTTTGTATTTTTAGTAGAGATGGGGTTTCACCATGTTAGCCAGAATGGTCTCGATCTCCTGACCTCATGATCTGCCTGCCTCGGCCTCCCAAAGTGCTGGGATTACAGGCATGAGCCATCGTGCCTGTCCCTCCTCCTGACTTCTCAAACCCTGGTCCCTTTCCCCAAAGATTTGTTAGCTGTGTCTTAGACATCGTTTCAGATCCACTTTTTTTTATAGACCCATAGAATACACTTATGTCATTTAAACTTACTTATATAATATTACATGCACTCTTTTGCTTTTTTTTTTCCAGTCAATAACATGTCTTGGAGATTTTTTTCCTATAGACATGTATCTACCTTATTTTTTGAGAACTGTACAGTATTTTATAGAATACATATTCTTTAATTTGTTTAACCAGTCCTCTATTAATGATGTTTAGATTTATTTTAGGCTAGTTTCCAGCCAGGCGCCATGGCCCACACTTGGAATCCCAGCACTTTGGGAGGCTGAGGCTGGTGGATCACAAGGTTAGGAGATCGAGACCAGCCTGGCTAACACGGTGAAAGCCCGTCTCTACTAAAAATACAAAAAAAAAAAATTAGCTGGGCACGGTGGCAGGCGCCTGTAATCCCAGCTACTCGGGAGGCTGAGGCACAAGAATCGCTTGAGTTCAGGAGGCAGAGGCTGCAACGAGCAGAGATCACACCACTGCATTCCAGCCTGGGCAACACAGCAAGAATCCGTCTTAAAAAAAAAAAAAATTATTTTAGGCTAGTTTCCAATAAGAATAAACCCCTACTTTTAGTGCCTAACACAATAAAGTTTTATCACATCACAGCTGCGTGCTGGTGGGACAGCCCATCTCCATCTTGTAGCTGTGCCATCTGGCCCTGTGTTCTATAATCTGGCCCTGTGTTCTATAAGATCACCACAGCAAAAGAGATGGCCTGGAAAAGGCTCTAGCTCTTAACTGTCTTGCCCCTCCTTTCTTTGGCCAAAAGAAATATGTGTTTGAGATTGGGAAGTGTCAAGGAGCACCTGGATATTTGGGGAGCATCAGTGGTCTCTGCCACTGTACCAACAGTTAAGTCCTGTATCAGGCTTCAAAAAGAAGAGGAAGTCATTACCCAATTGTTCATTTGAGAAACAAACTCCACATGTATCAGCAATGTGCTCATTTCCTAAACAAGCCTATTGGCTGCATTACTAGATATAGAATGAAATATTTTGATTCTAGGTGCCCCATTTTAAGAAAGATTGATATTGACACTGTCCAGGGACATGTAGTCAGAACATGTAAGGATCTCCAGATTTTTGTGTCCTGAAGGTTTTCAAAGACTTGGAGGAGAGGGCAATGGTTTGTAGGGTACAGAATACTCTTATTCTGTGTGGTTCCCAAAGAGAGAACTAGAACCAATGATGGAGTTTTAGGATGATTTCTCTCACAATGCAGGATATTTAATCAGCAATTAGAGACTTTCATAAATCAAACATAAGCCAGATGACATCTATGAAGAATATTGTAAATATTTTTTGCTTAGCATGGGAGATTGGTCTGGGTAGTCTCTGCGGCCTCTTTTTTAAATCTGGAATTTTGTATCATGAATGTCAAATGAATATTTCTTTTTCTTTTTAAATAGGACACTGATGAAATTCAAGTTAACTATCCTGGAATGTTTGAATTGATGGAAGATTTACAAGGTAAGGCACTTTAAAGAATTTTTAGACTCCATTGGGAAAGGTAGGCCAAAAAAAAAGAATTTTTAGACTCCATTTGAGAGAAACATTTTGAGAGCCAGCTCTTTGGCAGGCACTGGGCAAAGCACTAGGGATCCATTGTTGAGGAGAAAGCAGACTGTCTTCATGGAGCTTCTGATATAAAATGGAGGAGGCAGGCACCAGGCAGCTGTCACAGAGATAAGTGTTAAATTAGAATTATGGTCAGTGCTATGAAGTAGAGGCATATAGTGCTACGGCTGTTTGTAAAAAGATGGCGGGACTTTTTTTTGAAGGGTGCACTTGAGGATGATGGAACACATTGGTGACTTCCTTCAGCCACACTTGGCAGCTGAGATACAGGAATGAAGGTAGTTGAGTTGGTTTAGAAGTAGGGTTTTGTCAGGGGGAAATGTCCCAGTCTGGGAGACTCAAAAAGAAGTGTTATCTGAGGAAGTAGCAATTGAGCTGTGCTCTAAAAAAAAATGGAGATGAATTAACTGGGTAGACAGAGTAGGCAAGTGAATCTGAGGCAAGGAGAACAGCATATGCAAAGGCCCTCCTGTGAGAATGAACATAGCAAGAACTGAAAGAAGGGCATTTTGGCTGGTGTTCAGGGAGTAAGAAGGAGAGAGTTAAGTGATGACCTTGGTGGGTCAACGTGAGTCACAGATCAAATGCAGAAGTACTTTATAGGCCTTGTTAAAATTGTTTGCCCTTATCTTAAAATGCCCCTTGAGGCATCTTAGAGAGGTAACAGTATCAGACTTGGATTTTGAAAAGAGTAGATTGGCAGATAAACTAGTCACGAGATTAATTTCAGTATAGCTTGCTGAGAGATGATGGTAGTTTGTACTAAGGTGGTGGCAATGGAGATGAAGAGAAGCAGATTCATCCCAGAGATGTTTAGGAGATAAATTTTGCAGTTCCTGCTGGTGGATTGGCTGTGGGCAGATGAAGGAGAAAGACATTTGAAGCTTAATTGCTGAGTTTCTAGCTCACATAGAGAGATGGTGTCCTTCATTGATAGAAGAAACAATAGAAGAATACCAGGTGTGGGCAGGTACAGCCCTTGAGTTTACATTTGGATACATTGGGTTTGAAGTGCTTTTGAAATACCTAAGAGGTTATGTCAAGTAGGCAGTTGAGTATGTGGGTAGGTAGCTCAGAGGAAGCTACTGGCTTGGTTAAAAAGTTGGGAGTCAGTTGTGAATAGGTGGCATTCAAAGCGTTTGCCTAGGATAAGAACATGGAGTGAGCAGACAAAGTGGCTTGGTACTGAGGCTTTAGCAGGTGGGTAGTCGACGTCTGAGCCTACAAAGAGACTGAGAAGGAGTAGCCAGCAAGGTGTTCCAGAAAAACACCAGAAAAGTGTAGAATTGCCTGAACCAAAGGAAAGAAAGAATGTTTCAAAACAAAGGGAGCACTTAGCAGCGTTAAAAGCAAACTATGAACTGAAAAGGAAGTCCGCTAGATTTAGGAACAAGAAGGTTATTGGTGACCCTGGTGAGAGCTCTTTTGTTAGAGTGAGGAGAGTAGAAGAGGAGTAGGTTGAGGAGTAAGTGGAAAGTGAGGAACTGGAGATAGCAGATATGTGCTGTTCTTTCAAGAAGTCTGGTGGTGAAGAAGAGGTGAAGGATGGAAAGGTTACAGGTGTCAGAAGAGAGGAGAGGAATAGAAGTTGAGATGAGGTTGTTTTTTTTTTTCTAAGACTTGAATTTATTTAATTGCTGACTAGAAGAATCTAAGTGCTTTCCTAGAAGAGGTGACTCTAGAAGAGAGAGAAAAGATAATTGATGATGACAGGTGTCTGAGAAGGTGGGAAGGGTGCAATACAAAGGCCAGTGGAGGGGTTGACCTTGGTAAGGGGAGAGGCAAAGTTATAGCAGGAAGGGAGAAGAGGTAGCACCAAAGGATGTAGGTGTTTATGTTTGAAAACAAGAAGTTCCCATCTTGTGGGTCTATTTTTTTTGTCAAACTGGAAGTAATATATGCTAAGAATGAAAGGGTCAGAGTTTTGAGAAGTGAATGGAACCGTTTGAAATAGTCATTATAGGGAATGAGAAGGTGAACTGACCATCAACAGGAGGTGGCAGCTCAGGACCAGGCACGAAAATCGGATAGTTGAATTAGTTTGGGTTGGGGGTTTGCTAGTTAAAAGTGACAAAAAGACAAAGGTAAAAGATAATTCTAGGAGTATAATTGAGATAATAGGTTAAAGAATCTTAGCTGGAAGAAAAGGGAAGTGGGAACAAGAAAGAGTGAGCTGATAAATTGGGAGGAAAAAGAGGAGCTGAGCACAGGTGGTTCCAGTGTGGTCAGGGATGGTCACGGTTGAAGTTCCTGAACACACTGGAGGGACAGGAGGGTATGGTCAGAAAATGAGATGTTTGATGATTTTGGAAGTAAAGCAGTTACAAGTGATAATGGTCTGGGACGTGTCTCAGGTATCAAGGCAGAGGTGGTGTGATGGAGTGGTTGATTAGAGATGAGATTTTAAAATCTTAACTTGCTGATTATTAACATGAAGTCACCCAGGATGGTGGCAGTACTGGAGTGTAGAGGAAAACTGAGCCAAGTGCCAAACCTTTCAGTGAATGAGGGGAGTGACTAGCCTGATGTCAGACAGCAAGCAGGAGTTAGGAGGAGCTAACAGCCTTCTGGTGTGGGGCCTCAGCAGGGTGAAGGTGTTTAATAGGGTAGGGAAGTAATGGCTTGGAAGAGGCTTCAAGGAGTAAGAAGGATACAGATCAAACTCTGAAAGAGGTTAGATATGCAAAATATATGCAAAAATAAACTATTACTTGAAAGGGATGCTGGAGAAGCAGTTTCCTTAAAAGAGAGCTTCAACTTGCGTCCTTTGTGGGAATTTGTGAGGTGGTTCTTTTATATATATAGACTGACATCAAAAATCATTTCGATGAATGGGGGAAGCAAGAGGGGTTAAAGGTATGTTCTGTGAATCCAGAACTACACTTACCTAGGGGAGCCTTCATCTGGATCCTGAAAAATTGTAAGATGATTTAAAGAAAGAGGATTATACAAATAAGTATCTAGTCTTTACTTACAGATTTATAGTCTTTTGTGAGCATTGTTGTTCTTGCTTGCTTAAGTTACGAGTGAGAATAATTAGGGCCAAAGAGAACAGTTACCTGTCAAGTGGCAGAATTAGCTGCCAAACTCATGCTTCTTGGCTCTGCCCTGGCACTGTCTGAACTGACCCTGTTCCTTCTTGTGTTGCCCATCTGTAACAAGGTTCATTTGACCTATCGTGCAGCCTCCTCTGAGTGTGGAGCTTCTGTCACTCTGCAAACGGAAAGATGCGTAGCTGAAATCTTACCATTGTCATCAGTTTTCATTCATTAATAGAGGGATTGGCAGCCTGTAGCATGCATGGCCAAGATAACAGAGGATCAGTAATAAGTCACACACACCCCTTCCCCAGCATACCCCAAGGACTTACCTGATGTAATCAAGGAGCCACTTTATCCAAAGGCTTGAGAGATGATGGTGGGCTGATGATATATCACTCGGGCTCTAATAATAAAAATGTTATTCAAATACAGCATTTATTTTTGTTCTGCTGTAGAATCTGTGTTCATGATTCATTTCAAGAAAGAAAAGAGAAACATACTAGAAATTAGACCTCTCTGTTGGAAAAAGTTACTTCCCACTGATTTCAACATATGAGCAGCACTTAACTCTGTGCTTAGTGCAATTCTCTGAGGTTTTTCTAATACCCTAATTTTACCGGTGAGCAAATTGAGGCATCGAGAAGTTAAGTATCTTGTCCATGGTCACACTGAATCTGTAGTTACAATTTGAATTCAGAGTCCTGTACTGCATATTTGATATGTATGTGATTCTTTAAATTCAGGTTAACATGTATATTCAGCGAAATGTATTAATCTTAAAGGTACAGCTGCTTGTATTTTAACCACCATCCTGAACAAAATATTGAACATTTTCAGTCTCCCAGAAGGTAGCCTTGTGCTCCTTCCAAATTGATAACCCCCTCTTTTCCTAAAGGTTTCTTGTTTGTTTGTTTTTCAGATGGAGTCTCACTCTGTCGCCTAGGCTAGAGTGCAGTGGCACAATCTTGGCTCACTGCAACCTCTGCCTCCTGGGTTCAAGTAATTCTCCTGCTTCAGCCTCCCTAGTAGCTGAGATTACAGGCATGTGCCACCACACCTGGCTAATTTTTGTATTTTTAGTAGAGACAGGGTTTCACCATGTTGGCCAGGCTGGTCTTGAACTCCTGACCTCAGGTGATCCACCCACCTTGGCCTCCCAAAGTGCTGGGATTACAGGTGTGAGTCTCCTAAAGGTTTTAAATAGACCGTATATTTTCAGAAACTATGGCCTAATACTTTCAGATGCTTTCGTAATGCTGCTTTTTCTTAACTGTAATGTCTGTTACAGAAATCAGATGTCTTAGTTTTTGATACATCTTATCCTTAGGAATATTAAGAGAAATTATTTACACTTATAAAATGATATTTAACAAAATAGATATAATCATTAACAGGTTGGTTTTATATACCTTCACTTAGCGTTTATTGAGCATCTACCCATGTGCCAACCACGGAGCCAGTGGTGGAAATACGTAGTTCCTGATCTCAGGGAGCTTATGTTGTACTAGGGAAGAAGAACGCAAAGATAGAGACAGACTCCTACATTCAACTGTAAAATGAAATCATTTATAATAAAGTACAAGGAGAAACACAGGAGGAAAAGGCCCTAAATCTGCTTAGGGGGTCAGGAATGCTTTTGCAAAAGAGGCAGCACCTAAACGAAAATGAGTTTGCCCGGAGAATGAAAGGTGGGTTGAGGTTTAGGGGAGCTAACATTGCATCCACATGGAGGTAGAATAGGATATGCACATCCTTCACTCTCCTGATTAAGGAATGGTACCATAATCCAGTATTCCTTGAGTATATAGAACGGGGAGATGATGGGAAATGAATAGGATCAGAGGCTTCTAGATTTTTTTCAGATTAGCGTTGTAATGTCTTGGAAGAATTTTGCATAGAGGAGAGAAAATGAGATACATTTGTGTGTGTTAGAAAGCTCACCTTCCAGCATTGTTTATGAGGCATAGTTTATGAGGAAGGGAAGACTAGAGCTAACATGGTTAATCTGTTTGTTTGTTTTTTTTTAATGTGTGAGGAAACCCAGGCAGAAGTTAAGTAACTTGTCCCAGATGTTGTAATTAGTGAGTGGTAGAGCCAGGATTTAAACCTAGTCGAACAGCCTGATTTGTATGCTGAAA
Source organism: Homo sapiens (assembly GCF_000001405.40). Classification (NCBI taxonomy): domain Eukaryota; kingdom Metazoa; phylum Chordata; class Mammalia; order Primates; family Hominidae; genus Homo; species Homo sapiens. The sequence continues at coordinate 22,741 of NW_025791811.1, forward strand.
TCTTAGCCATTCTGCCTTGGAAAAAGTCAGAGGCAGATGAGATGGGAAGAAGCATAGTCAGGGGATGATGGAGGCAGGGAGACCGTGGGAGACTTTCAGGTGTGCCATTCTGCTGACTAGAAGATCATGTTACTTCCAAATTTGTTTCTGGGATTTTACATTTGTGGTGTATTTTTTTTCTTAATGGTTGTGGTGTGTCTCATTTAAGCTGCTATTATTAATTCACAGAACAAAAGTCCAGAATGTTGACCTAATTTTACAAAACAAGCTGCATATCAGCTGATGAATGCATGAGAAATTTTCAAGGCTTTCACAGTGGTCTTAAGGTAAGTTCAGTTATTTTTTTAAACAATACTCAGTATTGTTTTTAGTAAACTGTAATAAATTAGGTTTATTTTTGATAAGCAGTTGAACTTCACCTTAAAAACACTGTGAGAGTCTTAAACAGTTAACCTACTAGCCAGATTTTTCTGTTATCTCAAAGCCCAGGGCGAGTCGGAAGTCCCAAAGTTTCAGTTTTTCCCAGGTGGTCTTCAGTAGAGGTCCCCCATGATGCATTAGGAGGTGTTACTCTTTTGTAGATGGCAAAACTGGAATTCGATAGAGGTTGAATGACTTTGCCCCAGGTTATATAAGAGTTAAAACTGGGAGTGTGATCCCAAAGTCCAGATTCTTTCCACCACCCTCACACTGCTTCTGCAAGAAGGGAGTTTCAGTGTGGCAGTGTGAGTGGCTTGTGAGGGAAGGCTGGAGTGCTGCACAGTTACGCCCTGTGCTCTGCAGTAGTGCTCTTGAATTTCTGTATGGCTGATGTAGGTCAGACCTTCAGAGAGTGTTATGCCTACTAATCTTAATTAGTATATCCTAATACTGATTGTTAGAAGGCATTTTAGAATTTCTAGTGCATCACATGTTTATGTCTAAAAAATTAAATCTCTTTTCTACTGGTGTTGTCCATAACTAATGCATAATTAAGCCATAGCAGCGAGAAGTTGAGCAGAAATGAAAGCACCATACCTGAGCCAACAGACTCTTCCAATGTGAGACCCAGTTTACCTCTGGTCACTTGATATGGTTAAAATGTGAGCACTAGAAGCCTTTACGGAGCATCTAGTCTGGTCACTTTAAAGACCACAGATGATTGGCCCAAGGTTATCCAGCTGCTTCATGACACTAAGAATATGATCCACCTTTTTCTTGATGATAATTAACCTACTAGTTTGTGTCTGTCAATCTGCATGAATTGGGGTTGTTACACTTACAGGATTTTAGTAGCAGAGATTCATTATTTTAGAGAGTAGTAGAAATCTTTTGAGATTAAAGAGAAGAAAAAGGTTTAGGTGCAGCTCATTTGTTGATTGTTTTTAATAAGACCATTGAAAATATGGTAGATTATTATTTTTAAACTGTGAAAGAATACTGATATTGGTAAGTTTATTCATTTGTTGATTTGTGAAAGTAGAAAAACAAAACTAAGAAACATTTGATCATGTGTAAAATTTAATATAGAGAATACATATGAAGGATTTTTATTTCTGAAATTCTTTTAATTTTGCAGACTGGCTTAAAATATGCTCAAAGTAAATTTAAGTATTTGTATAAAGAAAAATCAAATATACAACATTAATCTTAAATGAACAATAGAATAATGCTTAACCTAGCTTTTCACCATCAACTCGAAGGAAGTCTAAATATTTTAAAACATTAAGAGAAGTACCTCCAAAAGAATGCACATAATTCTTTCCTAATGTGGGATTAGTAAAATATTGTAAATCTGAGAGCACATAGTAGCTTTGGTACTATCTAATGAGTTTCAAAGCCGTCTTCCAAGTTTCACAGTCATACTTGCATTATGGCTTAGGAGTGAGGCATTGTTGCACTGACCTGTCCTCCTCCAAAGAGCAGCTAAAAGCATGAGATGTGACATCCTTGGTAAAGTTCTTGCCAATTGCTGACAACTCACCTGGGGTGGCAGTCACCTGGCTTTTGCCCAGCGGGCTTACTTTAGACCATTGCTGGCAAGTAAAGCATTGTGGAGCTGCCTCCTGAAATTTCACTTGCCTGTCTTAATGTTGAAAAAGTTTCAAGTAGTTTCGCTTTAGAGTCACTAAGAAACCCAGTTATAATCTGAAAGTGAAATGAGATTTAGGTTTACATGACCCTTAGAGAATGAGGACAGGTATACTGTTAGATGAGACGGGATTAAGTCTGTGGTATTGAGCTGTTCAGGGTGTTTGCTGTATTATCTCAAACTACCTGTAGTGTATTTGTAGGTATGGGTGAGAGTAACTGTGCTTGGAATAGAAAAGCCCTGCTGCATCGAGACACAATGCTGGCAGCTGCGGCAGTGTACAGAGGTAAGGGGCGACCACTCTTTCACCCGCCTCACCAAGGCACTTGTGCTGTATCATGTTGATTCCCTTCACGTTGCCAATGCATTTTCCATTCCTGTTAAGGCTCCCTCAGACTTCTTGTCCTTCCTCTCAAAACACAGATCCTGTAGCTTTTTCCAGACAGCCTTTACTATTTCCTTACCCTCAGTATTAAGAATTTTTCATGTAAGATGTTCTCAGAATCTTACAAGTATCCTTGTACCCATTTCTTTTTGAAGAACATGACCTTTATTGAGCAGAAATTTTTTCCTACTTGCATTTTTTCAGACTTTAACCATTATTGTCTTTTTAGAAATGTACAGAAATGAAGATGGTTCAGTACCTGCTACATACCAGATCTATTACATGATAGGATGGAAATATCATGAGTCACAGGTAACGTTACTAAGATGGATCACTTTTCTTAGTGGGTTCGTGTTCAGATTATTGTTTACTAACTTGGGGGAAGGGGTAATGTAAGACAGCATTAAGGGCTTTAATTGGGGCTGTGTATTATCTATCTATTTCTAATATCTTTAATCTTTATTATTTTCAGGCAAGACCAGCTGAAAGAGGTTCCGCAACTGTGTCATTTGGAGAGCTAGGAAAAATAAACAACCTTATGCCACCGGGGAAAAAATCACAATAAATATTTATTCAGTGTTAATGTCGTCCAGAATTTTCATCAGAAATGGATAGCTTTAACATCTAAAATTATTATATTTTGAAGCAAGAAGCACTCTAAGCTATTTACTAATAGGCTTTTCATATAATTAGGAAAACCTAATATCACATCTATAGTAACCATTTCAGTTTCATATTGTTTCTGTTCTCATAAGGATACTGCTGAGTGTCTTTGCAGATTCAGCCTAAAAGCAAAGAAAATATTTCCCTAAAATATTTGCAAATAATGTTCACATATGTAAATGCCTTGGAAAATATTACTCATGCTGACCTTTTACACCTTTTTCATTTGTCATACTGTTTTCTTTGCCTTGAAGAGGAACAGATGAATATGCACCTTCTCCAGAGTTATGTGGTTTTAGAATTTAGAAGAGCATGTATCTTTATTAAATCCCTCCTCAACTCTTTTTTTTTAAAGCATCTGAATTTAACCTTATTTCTTTTTTATCTCCATGGTGTGGGTGGGACCACCATGGTTTTACACCCCACCCTACCTTAGGGAAGAAGAAAACATTTTAAAGAATACCAGAAGTAGAATCACATGTAACAGTCTCTGCACAGTCATCAGTTTATTGTTAAGCTTTCCTTTGTAATTTCAGGGCTTAAGCACTATTATCCTAATCCAAGTTCACAGTCCTGTTGTTGTCGAGGAGGGTTCAAAATCATTTGGAGATAATCAAGCTCAGACAGCTTAGGATAGGTGAGAAGAACATAGAGGAAGCAGGGAGAAGGCTGAGAAGCAAGCAGGAGTGAGCGCTAAGTGTTTTGTTTCCAGTTAGCTGTTCGCTGTCTTTTCCATTTAACCTGGGCACTGCCCTAGCCTCATCTTCAGCCTTCAGTGATCTATAATAGCATTTCCTTCTGTCTCCTCTCAGTCTCTCTTCTGCCTTCCTTCCCTCCTTTACTGTATTAGCAACAAGCTGTCCATGGGTGGGGGCTGTGTGTTAGCCTGTACGTAGCACATGGGACTTTCCACATAGTAGATATTCAGTTACATTTTGAACTAATTATATAACAAACTTGCCCTTTGAAAGACTAAGTTATAGTTAAAAACCAAGATTTGTAGGAGAAAAAGAAATTATTGTTCCCTTCAGTTTGAAAAATCATCGATATTTGAAACTGGGATACGCTTGGTAGCTTTTTTGTTTTAACACAAAGTAAACCTGTGAAGTAGAATTTGGCGTTTTGTTTTTTGGGGTTTTTTTTTTTTTTAGCTTAATTTTCAGAACTTGAAGAGAGAGAACAACAACAAAAAACAAACTGCGCTAGCCAGGTGCAATGGCGCATGCCTGTAGTCCCAGCTACTTGGGAGGCTGAGGCAGGCAGGAGTTCAAGGCTGCAGTGAGCTGTCTGTGCCACGGCACTCCAACCTGGGCAAAAGAGGAGACCTCATCTAAAGAAAAATCCACCAAAAACCCTGTGTTTTAAAGTGCAAACTGATGATGGAGGAATGGGTAAATTCCAGGGGTCTATATTTCCAAAAGGACATGTGTTTTTGTGCACTAATACTTGTTTTTGAAGAACACATCTCAGTGTTAAGTGGCTGTTGCTGAGGAAGGGGACTGAGGAACTGGGTGTGTCTGTGTCATTCTGTTTGAATGTCTGTCAGGGGTATAGAAACTAGGAGGGAGACTTGTACTTTTCACTTTTTAAACTTCCTGTAAAATTTGAATTTTCCAAGCAAGAATATTACTTTTGCTTATTTAATGTCAACGGAATTATATGTGGATGGTGGGGTGGAGCTAAGGATTACTCTACTCTGGCTATCCCAAAAAAAGCTCCATTTGTTTAAAAAAATTAAGTAAATCAAACACAGCTAATTGAGGACCCTTATTGTTTAATGTGAGTGATTGTAGTGAAAACACTTATTTTAGTGTGTATAACACTAGTGAAATTATTTTTGTAGTTAAATCTGCTGGAAGTGTGCTATTAAGCTTTTATTGTTTGGAGCCCTCAGGAAACTAATTTTTCTGAATAACCACATTTTCCAAATGATTAAGAGCTCATCCTTTTAAGCAATGAAACTTTTAAAAGGTCTTTATCAAAAATTTTTCATAAATGTTACATTCTTAAATGGTATATGATAAATAATCATCTTTTTTGTTGGTTTATTTTTTTATTTTTTATTTTATTTTATTTTTTGAGACGGAGTCTCGCTCTGTCTCCAGGCTGGAGTACAGTGGCGCAATCTCGGCTCACTGCTGCCTCCGCTTCCTGGGTTCAAGTGATTCTTCCTGCCTCAGCTTCCCAAGTAGCTGGGATTACAGGCGCGTGCCACCACGCTGGCTAATTTTTGTATTTTTAATAGAGATGGGGTTTCACCATGTTGGCCAGGATGGTCTCAATCTCTTGACCTTGTGATCTGCCCACCTTGGCTTCCCAAAGTGCTGAGATTACAGGTGTGAGCCACCAGGCCTGGCCAATAACCATTTCTTGATAACCCCACAGATAATATCATAAACTCAAGTTGTCTGTATTGCTTCTTCCCAGACTGGTCCCAAGAATGCTGTGGTTGGTTTTGTGTCTTTTCCAGCACTTTTCTTACTTGCTGTCAGTTGTCAATCTCAACACCTTGACCAAAATGAACTTTCTTGAGTCATTTCTTCTCTGTTTAGCTATAAGATTAGAATTCATACTGAAAGATTTCTAGGACTTTTGTATTAAGGTAGGAAAGAGGAACTAGGTTCTGGGAGAAAGACTCCTTTGGAATAAAATTCATGAGCTTTATTGGTTCCTTTAACAGATCTTCATTGAGTTTCATGTGCCAGGCATCCAACTAGTCTCTGCTTTTATAGTTGTCAGTCTGACAGGGCTCTAGTATGTGCACACCGTGACACCTGTTGGCTGCCAGGAGACTGTTTGGCTTATTTCCTGGTTCTTAGCAATATTCCAGGTTGGCCTGGAGAATTCCAAAGGTAAATATGAAAATGTATACCTACAAAAGAATTTTTGCTTTATAGGAAGAATTTGTAGGATTTATTGAGATGTAAGCTACCTATATACATCAAGTATGTGATATGATTGTAAAAAGTTACAGAAGTGTGTGAGTCATGAAGTACCTGTGAGGGAAGTTTATATATTTTTTCAAACTCTTTTAGTACCATTTTCATCCACTAGGTGGAAGCAATTACAGTATGACCTGCATTAAAGACATGTACAGTTTTTTGGCCGGCTGCAGTGGCTCACACCTGTGATCTCAACACTTTGGGAAGCTGAGACGGGAGGATTGCTTGAGCCCAGGAGTTTGAGACCAGCTTGGGCAACGTGATGAAACCCTGTCTCTACAAATAAAAAAAAAATTAGCCAGGCATGGTGGCACAAGCCTGTGGTCCCAGCTACTCAGAAGGCTGAGGTGGGAGTATTGATCGAGCCCAGGAGGTCAAGGCTGCAGCAAGCTGTCGCACCACTGCACTCTAGCCTGGGCAACAGCAAGACCCTCGTCTCAAAAAAGAAAAAAAAAAAGTACAATTTTTGTATTGATTATGTATTCCTTAAGTAGGAGTGGAATAAAAGTATTTTACCGTGGATTGGCTTCTGTGAAGGAAAGAAGTGAATATTAGTAGATATTTGGAAAAAAGAAAGATAGTTGATGCAGTGATTATTATTCTGTTCCTTTGTAAGTTACCATTAGCCTCTCTTGCTTAAGAAATATTTTGAGCTTTTTTGGGGAGGGGTTGTGGTTAATGATGTGAAATTAATCTTCAGGAAATTTATCATAAGCAGACTTGCCTTTTCAGATATTGGTATATTTTAATTCTCTACCTGAATACATACATGACAGTTATTTTACCATGCTGGTTTAAAAAACATCAATTTGAAAATACTAGAAGGTGGGGTGAACACTGATAAGTTACTGTTAACAAATAAGAAAATAATGCTTTGCCATCTGTGGTGGTTTTAAAATCTATCCACAAATTTTTGATATGCTTCTCTTTAAGACGGGACACTTCATTCCCCTCTAAGTACAGGCTGAGTTTAGTGATTCCCTTCCAACAAATAGATGGTGTGTCACTTCTGAGACTAGGTAATAAAAGGCATTGCATCCTCCTTACTCTCTCTTGGATCCTTCACTCTAGGGAAAGCCAGCAGCCATATTGTAAGGCCACTCAACTCCATGGAGAAGACCTAGAAGTGAGGAGCAGAGGCCTCCAGCCAAAAGCCATGTGAGGGAGCCATCTTGGAAGCAATTCTCCAGGCCCAAACTTCAGATGACTGTGGTCCCAGCCAATGCATTGACCACAACCTCATGAGAGACCCTGAGCTAGAACCACCTAGCTAAGCCACTCTCAAATATCTTATCTACAGAAACTGAGATGATAAATGTTTGTGGTTTAAGCAACTGTGTTTTAGAGTAATTTGTTACACAGCAATAGATAACTGATACGCGATACACTGTCTTCAGGAGGTGTATTAGGGTGGGCAAGGTATTCTGAGTTGTTATTTTCAGCATAAAACATAGCCCCCTTATTTACAATTAGGTAAAGTTAACATAAACTGTATTACTTTTGTTCTCAGAGAACACCAGACCTGAAATGCTCTTGCCTGGAGGTTTGATTCCATGATATCTTGAAATGGAACTAACTTCCCACATTAAGTTTAGTAGGCCTCAAATTTTCTTTCCTGGGAATATTAGGATAAATTTTTTGGAAGCCTCGATGGGCTAATTTCCAAATGAAATCAGAGAATTTGGGAAGACCATGAGAATTCAGTGAGCTACATAACTGCACACAGATTCTTCAGCCAGTTCCCTTCTGCCGTAGCTGTTGAGTTGCGACAGCTCATTAGGATGGACTGTTGACACTGCATACTTGTTACCAGGCTCACAAATGAGTACAAGGATGTGGAAATAACAAGGACTCTTTAAAGCCAGACTTGATCGTACATTGTTAGTCACTGCTAAAACCAGGCAAAAGTAAATTGCCTGCACTTTGAAAGTGGCCATTGTAACCCGGCCAGTGTCTAGACTCTTCATTCAGGAATCACACGTTTGGCCAGGATGCCCGTTGCTAGTTCTGTCAGAACAGGTCTGGTGGTAGAATATCAGGAACACTTACCAGGTGTACTGTTTTTGTGCTCAGAGTGTTTGTGCTCAGATTGTGAGTGGGAGATTGGGAAGAGGAGAATTCCAAAGAAAGACTTGCCAGTCTGCCATAAAAAACTATGGAAGTCAAAGAAAGGTCGGGGACTGGGAGTCAGGTGGTCTGGGTTTAGTGCTGGTCCTGTTTGTTCCTAATGCTGGGGCAGACTCCATCTCTCTGACCTCAATATCTTCATCTGTAAAATTACAGGTTTGCTAATTGGTGAGTCTCAAAGGAGGCTACCAGCCTGCCTTTCACGTTCCTGAAGGGCTTTTTCAAACACTTCCACCTTTCTCTCCTTGGTTGAGAGTCACAGCCAGAGGGAGCTCATGTTAGAGGTGGGAAATGGTTGCGAGCCATTGGACAGGATGATCTCAGAGGAGCTTTTCAGCCTGACCCCAGAACCTGGGTCCCAAGGCAAAGTGGACAGGAAGCCCTCCCATCTTTACAGTTTCTCAGACTCTGTTGACCTTGGGGACTTCTTTTCCCTTCAAAGTAGACTTTGACTTCCCCTGAGGATAAGATTTAAGAAGGAAGCACAGCATGATTTACTTTGGGTCCCTTAATCTTTAAAAAGTGAGTCAGCATGCTGGGGTTTTTTGGGTTTTTTTGTTTTTGTTTTTACTCCTGGGCTTAAGCTCCCAAGGAGCTGGGCTTACAGGCATGTGCCACGATGCCCAGCTCAATAATGCATTTTGTTGTTGTTGTTTGAGACAGTCTTGTTCTCTCGCCCAGGCTGGAGTGCGGTGGTGCCACTTCGGCTCACTGCAACCGCCGCCTCCCGGGTTCAAGTGATTCTCCTGCCTCATCCTCCCAAGTAGCTGGGATTATAGGCCTGCATCACCATGCCTGGCTAATTTTTGTATTTTTAGTAGAGACAGGGTTTCACCACATTGGCCAGGCTGGTTTCAAATTCCTGACCTCAGGTGATCTGCCTGCCTTGGCCTCCCAAAGTGCTGGGATTACAGGCGTGAGCCACCGTGCCTCGCCAAAGAATGCATTTTCATTTTTAAGTTTCTGGGTCACAAAGGAGGGCCCCAGACCCTTATATGTCCAGCATGGATAGCCTTCTATATTTTCCATGGAAGATGACATTTTCTCATAGGCACCAAGCATTCAGCATTTGGGAAGTGTCCCTTAGTTTTGCACAAAGTTCCCAGTTACTTGTCTAGGTGACAAGTCCTGGCTGCAGAACAGGAAATGCTCAGGCTTCAGGTGGCAGCACTCTGGAGGGCCAAGTGAAGAAATAGATACGAAAGTACTGGTTGTCCATGTAATTTCCTGAGGAGCCAGCTGAACACTCATGGTTCTCCACAAAGGAGGCTTCTTTGAACCTGTACACAGTTGTTACGGATTGGTAAAGCCCTCTTGAAGGCGCCCTTACTGTGCTCTCACCAGGCAGTGTGCTAAGCCTTAGATATCCATTCTCAATTCACATTTCATCCTCAGTTCCCTATGAGATATTAGTACTATTGTCCCCATTTGTTAGATGAGGAAACAGGCTTAGGTTGTGACTTCTCCAAGGTCACATAAGTGACAGAGACAATTTTGACTTCAGTCTTGTATGTGAAGGGAACAGTACAATTAATGATTGTAGTGTGCTGCCTTCTTTGCAAGTCAAAACCTTCTGTGAGCTCCCAGCCTTTCTTCACATCCTCCCTTCCACCATACCCTTGAACACTCCAGCCGCATATTAGAACCAGTCAGGTGATTGCACCCACTGTCTCCAACACTTGCTCAGCCCCGTCCTTGAATCCTTGTCCCTGCAGAACTGCCTGCACTCCAAACTCTTCTGGGTCCCTTCTACTGGGAGCTGTCACCCTTCATATCCAGCTCTTTTTTTGTCCCAGGCCATCTTGAACTTTGGTTAGTTCCATCTCCTTTAGCACTTTGTACATCATTTCCTGTTCATGAATTCTGCCTCTTCAGCTAACTGTTTAGCTTCCTTGAGCATTGGCACTGCAATAACCAGGGTTCCAACAGCCCCAGGGAAAGCCCAGATAGAGTCACTATGACCCCTGTGAGCACGGCACAGCAGGAGACCGGAAGAACAGGCAGCTAGCATCAGGCACGTTCAGCTGCAAATTCTAAGGATCAGCCACTCAATTGGGATTCAAAGCTAGACTCCTATCTCAGAGGAATCTGGGTCCCAAGGAAAAAGAGACATGCATGTGAATGATGGGGCAGAAATACAATTGCTGGGACTGAGAGACAGGGAAGGGCCTGACTTTAGAGAGTAAGCCTAGAACCATGATGTGAGGTCAAAGCAGGGCCTGCAGCGCAGCTGACGGCATTATGTCATGGGGCAGGGTAGATTCCCATCCAGACAAGATGTTCACCTATTATTAGATATAGGGTGGCCCAGTGGAGTAGTGGCTAAGATTAGCATGAGTTCTGAAGTCACACCCTCCCATTGGATCCCCTTTCTACCACTAACTAGCGTACCTGTGTTTAGTTACTCAACTGCTGTGAAATGAGAACCATTCTTCAAAGTATCAATATAACACTTAGCAGGTAAAGCATCACACTTCTTAGGCTTAGGAAGCCAAGCTCATTAGATGCCTTAAGTGTCTGGTACAATAACTCTTACATTTATAGGTGTTGCAAAAGAAGGTAGAGGTGGAGCACAGGAGATGGAGAGGAGAATTTCCAGAGGTAAATGTGGTTAGCAAAGCTGAGGTAAGCATGTGGATATCTTTCCTGTAAGGTTTCGCAGAACCTTTGATGTAATTCTGAATCTCCCAAAGCAGGCTAAATTTTAGGACATCTTCCAGACTTAATGGTCCAGTAACCCTTTTATCAAGGAGGATCAAGTAAGACCTTGAACTCGTTTGGGGAAACATTAGCCTAGCACAATGCTAGGCATTGTACAGGCTTGTTAAATAATTTGAATAATTCTCGAAAAATCTACATTCAGTTATCAGAATCTGTTCACCTGCAAAATTGTTTATGAACTTTCTCAAGGCAGTCAATGCAATGGTTAAGTACTGGCTATGTGGTCTTGGACAAGTTACTTGACCTCAGCTTCCTCTTCTGTAAAAGAGGGATGATGGGCCTGGCACAGTGGCTCACGCTTGTAATCCCAGGACTTTGGAAGGCTGAGATGGTGGCGCACACCTGTAATTGCAGCTACTCAGGAGGCTGAGGCAGGAGAATCGCTTGAACCCGGGAGGCGGAGGTTGCCGTGAGCCAAAAAATCACACCACTGCACTCTAGCCTGGGCAACAGAGTGAAACTCTGTCTCAAAAAAAAAAAAAGGAAGGATACAGTATTCTCCCAGGAAGGCAGTTGTGAAGATCAAATGAGCTAATAATACATTCAGTCAGAACAGTGCCTGGCACATAATAAGCATGATATGTTAGCTATTATTATTCTAGACAGAATGAATTTCGGGGAAGCTCTTAAGAATAAACTATTGACTGCTGTTGTAGTGCTAGTTTACCATTTGTTCTGCATTCAATTCCCTCTTGCTTACTTGGAAGACTGATTAATAGACAGGTACTGCTTAAAGTCACTGTCCCTTTTTAAAAAAGAATAAATCACTTGACTCAGACAGCTATTTTGTTTCTATGGCAAAGTCTAAATAGAATTCAAATATAAGAAATTCATTTAATGCTTTATTAGGTGAAGATTGAACATATTTTCTTTTAGAGGCACTTCATCTTTACCTAGAATTATTTTCTGATTAATGAAAATACAAGTTAGGATAATTCATTTCACACCAGTACACACCTCAAAAAACAGGAAGTAAATGTTTCCATATTGATACAAATGCTGGATGAAATTAATTAGGTGGCCAAAAAACAGCTAAGAATTCAAATCTCACAGCCTAAAAAATAATTCTATTCTTGCCACACATGAAAAGATTTTTTAAATTTTTTGTTATAGACAACTATAACAACACCTCTTAACACCTGAGAGGCTAGAGTGAATTATAAAACTTTTGAGCTATAGGACATTAGAGCAATCTTGCTTTGCAAATAAGGAAATTGAGTTACGCAGAGAGGGAATGACTTGCTTGAGGTCATAGCTAGGGGTGGAGAGAGAGGACATAGGTGTTCCAGTGTCTTGCCCAGAAATCTATGGCAGGCTTGACAGTTACACAACCCCAGCTCAGCCACAGGCCCAGACAGTGCACCTGCCCTCCTCAGGAGGTTTAGAGAAAGGTATGAAGGTTCTCATGGTCCCTTGGGGAGCTCTCCATTCCAAAGACCTCCAGTGAGGAGTCCTTCACAAAGTCCAGAGTCACCCCACATTGAATTTGTTTAGAGCAAATTTCTGTGTTGCAGGTTACGACAGACCTCAATGGGCTGTGTGTTGAGAATAAAAACAAAAAATACTGTTCCCTGGGTCTCACTCCCAGAGATTCTGATTAAATTTGGCACTGAGAGTTTTAAGAGCTACAGCCCCTGCTCCAGAGCAAGAGTTTTCTGAGCAGAGAAAACTTCTACGTGAATCACAGACCCCTTTTTACCTCCCCACCACTTCTGTTGCAGTCAGGAATTTTGAAGAACCGCTGCTGCTGCTGTTGTGTTGGTTCTGGAAACACGTGTGTCATTGCACACTTCACGATGGATTTACATTAGAGAGGGAAGTTGTGTCAGACTGGCCTGGGAGTGAAGCAGGGTGGGTGTGGACAAGTTCTTCATTCAGTACTTATTGAGCACCTACTATATACGAAGCTCACCGAGAGATGAGAGGAACCTGATCACTGCCCTCACAGAGCTCACAGCCCAGCCAACTAGAGACCACGGGGAAGCTGACATTGTGCGTTTTCTTGGGACCAAAAATACTTTGATTAAGGCACCGATGTGGAAGGCACGGTGCAATGCTGATACTTGGATAAATAGGACAGGGTCCCTGCCTTCATTACACTGGTATAAGGTGACATGGGCAGTCAACCATAGTTCAAAGTAGAATATAAGAAGTGCCAGGAAAGATGTCTGACCATGAGCCTTACGAGTTCCAAGGAAAGTGAGTGCTGTCTGTGTGGTGGAACAGGTGGTATCAGGAAAGACTTCATCCATGTTTTCATTCATTCCACCCAAACCACACCATGCCGGGTGCTGGAGTGTAAGGAGGAAGAAACCCCAGCCATTAAGAGGCCTCCAGCCAAGTGGAGCAGAACAACAATAAACAATACAGTATTTCTTCAATTCTAAGTGCCTTCGACTGCAAATTGTATCCTGATTTTGGAGATGTTAAAATTTGGAAAAAGGTGTATTTTAGAATTAATGAAATAAAGGAGTAATAGATAACTCAGATGCTTACTATCTACCAGGCACTGTCCTAAGTGCTTATATGTATCACTTTTTACTTATTTAATAAAAGGCAATTACATGCAGTGACAAGTGGCTTTTGGGAAACACAGTGAATAAATGAGGAAGTGAATGAATAAATATTAGAAGAATAAACCCTTAATAAACCCTTTGTCTTCCATCCTTAGACCATCTGGATAAGGCAGTTCCTGGTCTAAGAATTTAGATCCTTACAAATGGTAATTTCCAAACTTTAGTGTTGTCAAGGAAACCACTAAGAGATAGATATAGATAGCTCAGTAATGATCCCATTCCTTATTTCTAACAAGTCCAAAGAAGCAGTGGTGTGTATCTGTGTGTGTGTGTGTGTGTGTGTGTGTTTGTGTGTGTGTGTTGTGAGGGAGAAGGGAGATACAAAGAATTAAAAAACTGTCACTCACAGGCAAGGCACAGTGGCTTACACCTGTAATCCCAGCACTTTGGGAGACCCAGGTGGGGAGATCACCTGAGGTCAGGAATTTGAGACCAGCCTGGCCAACATGGTGAAACACTATCTCTACTAAAATACAAAAATTAGCCGGGTGTGGTGGCAGTCACCTGTAATCCCAGCTACTCAGGAGGCTGAGGTAGGAGAATTGCTTGAATCCAGGAGGCAGGAGAGGTGGAGGTTGCAGTGAGCAGAGATCATGCCACTGCACTCCAGCCTGGGTGACAGAGCGAGACTCTGTCTCCTAAATTAAAACAAAAACAGTCCGGATGCGGTGGCTCACGCCTGTAATCCCAACACTTTGGGAGGCCAAGGCGGGCAGATGATGAGATCAGGAGATCAAGACCATCCTGGCCAACATAGTGAAACCCAATGTCTACTAAAAATACAAAGATTAGCTGGATGTGTTGGTGTTCACCTGTAGTCCCAGCTACTTGGGAGGTTGAGGCAGGAGAATTGCTTGAACCTGAGAGGCAGAGGTTGCAGTGAACTGAGATCATGCCACTACACTCCAGCCTGGAGACAAAGTAAGACTCCATCTCCAAAAAAAAAAGAAAAAGAAAAAGTAAAAAAGAAAACAACTATTACTCTTTTTAATTATTACACAGAGGGCGAATTTCATTTTAAAGGAGGTTGCCATTGCAAATTGTGAGTTCCTGAGGAAAACAGGATCCATTAATTGCACTTAATGTTCGGTGATAGGGTCTGCAGGTAATTGGAATTCTTGTCACGGGACCCAAAAATCCTACTTTAAAAACAGCTCTCTGGATGATTCTTGTGTACACTAGATTTTAAGAATCATTAATTTTGTCTCAGTCTCTGAAATAAGGAGGCATATTTGCCATACACACTAATGAGACCTAAATAGGGACTGGGATTTCAGGATGCAAAACCTACTCAAACTGCTTTGTCTTTCTCCCATCCCTCCCTCACTGTGCTTCCCAGCCAAGTAAATCACCAGCACCCAAGTTCTTATCCCAGGGTCAGCTTCTGGGAGAGCTAGAACTAGTACAGGGAGTTTGACCTTATTCTGAAGGCAATGCACAATCACTGAAGAGTATTTGGCTTTTTGTTTTAGAGATAGGGCCTTTATCTGTGGCCCAGGCTGGAGTGCAGGAACACAATCATAGCTCGTTGCAGCCTGGAACTCCTCAGCTCAAAAGGGATTCCCCTGCCTCAGCCTCCTGAGTGGCTGAGAGAGACTACAGGTGCAAGCCACCATACCTGGCTAATACTGAAGAGTTTTAATTGAGGGAGTGGCAAGCAATTTCTTTTTTAAAAAGATCTTTCTGGGTTGGGCACAGTGGCTCACGCCTGTAATCTCAACAATTTGGGAGGCCGAGGTGGGCAGATCAACCGAGGTCAAGAGTTCGAGACAGCCTGGCCAACATGGCAAAACCCTGTATCTACTAAAAATACAAAAATTAGCCAGGAGTGGTGACAGGTGCCTGTAATCCCAAGTACTTGGGAGGCTGAGGCAGGAGAATTACTTGAACCCAGGAGGCAGAGGTTGCAGTGAGCCGAGATTGCATCACCATCCTCCAGCTTGGGTGACAGGGTGAGACTCCATCTCAAAATAAATAAATAAATAAAAAAGATCTGTCTGGATACAGTGTGGAGAATGGAATCAAGGAGACAGAACATTTAGAGTAACAAGAGCCCAGGGGTAGAGGTGGAGGCAGACTGCACAGGGGTGAGGACCATGGATGAGGATTGAAAGGGAGGGTAATCAATAGGCCTTCATGATTGATTGATTGCTTGGA
This sequence comes from Homo sapiens, assembly GCF_000001405.40. Classification (NCBI taxonomy): domain Eukaryota; kingdom Metazoa; phylum Chordata; class Mammalia; order Primates; family Hominidae; genus Homo; species Homo sapiens. Next base: position 38,383 of record NW_025791811.1, read on the forward strand.
GGTAGGGGAAGGATGGGAGTGCTGGATGAAACTGCCCTGGGAGAATGTACAGACTGAGGAGAAAATAGCGCACAAGGAGAGGTCTTCCTTCCCATTTGAGTTGGCTCTTGAAAGATGGCGAAGACTTTTTAGAAAACATTTTTTCTTAGCCAGGCGCGGCAGCATGCTCCTATAATCCCAGCTAATTGGGAGGCTGAGGTGGGAGGATTACTTGAGCTCAGGAGTTTGAGGCTGCAGTGAGATATGATCACACCACTGCACTCCAGCCTGGGTGACAGCAAGACTCTGCCTCTTTAAAAAACAAACAACAACAAAACAACAACAAAACACGTAGGTAGAAAACATTTTTTTCTAATTACCCCCACCATCATTATAAAAGTTATTCATGTTCACTGTGAAAATTTTGGGAAATTTTTAAACCCTATAATACCATCAACGCCTATTAAAATATCAGTGTATATCGCTCCAGATTTTACTAACAGCTAGCTACCTAGATAATAAACATCAAATCATCCTGTATACTGTATGGCATCCTGCCTTCTTCAATAATACTATGCTATGGGCATTTTTCTGTCATTCTTTTTTAAAAAGTATGATTTTTAATGGCTACATATTTCATCGTGTGAATGTACCACACATTATTTGATGATTTCTATTTTTAGGACTATGTCTTTTCCAACCTTTTTCCCATTATAGACAGCTACATGATGAGTAGAATAAATTACTAGGACTAGAATTGCTGAACTAAAGTATGTGAACATATTTAGGGCTCTTGATATTTATTATCCCAGAATAATTATGCCTCTGTACATCTCATACTAACTGGGTAGGTCAGCTCCAGGAGGGCAGGGGTTTGGGTCTGTATTGGTCATTGTTATATCCCCAGGACCTGGAAAGTTCCTGGACCCTAACAGATTTTCAATAACTACTGAATGTTCAAAAATTATGAATGAACAAAGAGCAAGTGAATGAATGTCTCACCATACCCTCACTATACTGGTTATAATTATTTATTAGATCTTTAGCATTATATTATTGTTTTCATTGCTTGGATTATTAAGTATCAGCTCACATGCTTTCCTGTGGAAGGATAGTGGCTAACTTTGGCATTTGATGAGAACCAAGTTCAAATACACTTATTAGCTGTGTGATTTTGAGTCTTGCTTCACTACTCCTTTTCAAATGGACATGATAGTAGTATCTCCCTTACAGAATCACTGTGGTGAAGAATGATATATGCATAGACTACTCACAGTGTCTGTAAATAGTGGCACAAATAAATGTTGCATATGTGTTAAATGATTTATATTTTCACATCCCCTGCCCATTTTTTTTTCTAGTTCATAGTTTAAGTGTTACAGTCCTTAACTCACTGACACATTTATTATGACATTTCCCCTCATTTCTGTCATTTTGTATATGGTGGCTTTCTTAATGTTCCAAAATTTTATTTTATTTCTACCCTAATCTGTGCAGCTTTTCCTTTCTGATGACTTTCATTGCTTTGGTGCTTAAAAATTATTTCCCCACACTGGGATCTTAAACATTTTTTTTTTTTAGGTTGCTTTAAATTTTTTCTAGCCTTTTTTAAACGGTCCTGCACAAAATGGTTTAATCTATTGTTTGTTTTTGTCTATGGTGGGGCATATATTAATTAGACTAGCCTAGATTAGGCAGCAGTTACAAATAAACTCTGAAATGGCTTCGCACAAGAAAAGTTTATTTCTCATTCAGGCCTAGTCTATGTAAGTTGGGGAGGGGATCACCATGTAGTGACTGGGAGATCCACACGCCCTCCATCTGGAGCTAGCGCTTTCTCATCCTGTGGTTTCTAAGTTCTTAGCAGGAAAAAAGAAGGGTGGAGGAAGCAAACACCAGCTTTCAACTGCTTTGCCTTTCTAGAAGTGACAAATACCACTTGTACTCACAGTTCATTGGACAGAACTGGTTACCTGGGCCCAACATAGTCACCAGGAGGCTGGGAAATTTAGGGGAGCATGTGGAATGTTGATTAATGAGCACCCACTGTCTCTATGAGAGGGGGTGAGGGAATAATCCATTTTTTTTCTGAAATTATCCCAGGATCCCTTTTCTTTTAAGTTAGAGATTATTAAAAGTTACGGTGAAGTTTAAGGAATAAAATAACATTCATATCCCCCAAACCCTAACTTAATAACTGTTAAGATTTTGTCATATTTGTCACCATTTATTTTTTATTACAGCTTGGAGATGCCATTTGTATACCCTAAAATTTGCCCTTTTATAGTGAACAATTCAGTGGTTTTTAGTGTATTCACAGAGTTGTCCAACCATTACCAATATTTGATATTAAGACATTTTTCGTCACTTCCACAAGAAACATCATGCCCATTAGCAGTCATTTTCCACTCCCCATCAACCCCTGGGCCCTGACTACAACTCATCTAAATTCCTTCTGTCTCTGGGAACTTACCTATTCTGGATATTTCATATAAATGGAATCATACAATATGTGGCCTGGCTTCTTTCACCTAGCATAATATTTTTAAGGTTCATCCATGATGTTACATGTATCAATACTTCATTACTTTTTATTGCTGAATAATACTCCATTGTATGGATATACCACATTCTGTATATCCATCTGTTGATAGATATTTAGGTCGTTTCCACTTTTTGACTGTTGTGGATAATGCTGCTATGAATGTTTGTGTACAAGTTTTTACGTAAACATGTTTTCAATTCTTTTACGTGTATACTAAGCAGCAGAATTGCTGGCTCATATAGTAACTCTATGCTTAATTTTCTGAGAAACTGCCAGACTGCTTTCTACATAATGCATTCTGCTGTTATTCTATAGGTAACTATTAGGTCTAGTTGGTTTGTAGTGTTGTTCAAGTCCTCTAGTTCTTTATGATCTTCTGCCTAGTTATTCTATCCATTATTAAAAATGGGATATTAAACAAATGTTGTTGAATTTTCTATTTCTTCCTTTAATTCTGTCTGTTTTTGCTTCATGGATTTTGGAGTTCTGTTGTTATATGCATATATATTTATAATTGTTACATCTTCTAATAAATTTCCCCTCTTTCATTATAAAATGTCCCTTTTCTCTCTAATACCTTTTTTTTGTCTTCAAATTTATTTTGTCTAATACTAGCATAGTCACTTTTGTCCTTTTGGTTACTGTTTGCATGGTACACCTTCTTTCAACTTTTACTTTAAACTTATTCATGTCTTTGAATCTAGAGCATGTTTCTCGTAGACAGCATATGGTTAGATTATGCTTTCTAGAAAATTAATTCTGCCAATCCCATCAGAGATAATCATTGTGATGAAACATCCATTTTCACTGTGATGAAACATCCATTTTCATTCTGCATTTGCAGAATTTTCTAACATATGACCTATATAGATACATCTTTTTTTTTTTTTTACAAACTGTGACCAAATTTTATAAACTGTTTTGAAATATGCTTTTTTCCACATCACAATAAAACATGGTATTTCCAGGTCAGTAAATATTATTAAATGGCATCATTTTAAATTGCTCTATGTTGTCTTGACTAGATGTATGACAGTTTATTTATCTAGTGTATTATTTAGGTGACTTCCAATTTTTTGTCATTATAAATAACACCAGGGAAACAGCATCCTCATAGCTAATTTTATGCATGTATTTGGTTATTATTTACTGTAAATGTCAAGAGGTGGAATTGATATAAACTCCCAAACCACCCAGTCTAGCCTCAGCATGCCAGAGTGCCAGTTTTCCCACACTTCAGTCCTTTTTTTTTTTTTATCAGATCACTTAAAAATAACACAAATGTAAAATGTAATCTGGACTTAGGGGGAATATTTGCCTCGATGGTTAGTCCCCGGTAGCTCAATAACGTAGTCTCCTGCTTTCTTAGTCAACTTGATGAAGTTTTAATTTAATGGCATCCTATTATGGACTAAAATCATGAACAGGCCAGTACAGGGAGAAACTAAGAACCAGAAGATTGTCACTGCTTTTTTGAGGAACTTCAGAAGACCTTATGTTAATAACTGTCCCAGGAAACACCAGCCTTGGGCTAATTATTATGGGCCTACGTGCACAAAGCTTTTGCTTCTTTCATTTTTCTAGGACTCTAGTTCCCTAATGAGCGCCGAAGTTCTCAGCACTCTGTTTCCTTGGTGTGTCCTGATATAGAACATATTGGGAAGATGGCTTGGCCACAAGCTGCTCTTAAACTACAAAATTTGTGCCTGGAGCAGCTGAATTTGTTTAATCGGGTCAAAAAAGGGCTTCCCCATTCTAGATTGTAAAAGCAAACAAAGTCCACGTTTCTTGTAATAGTTTTACAGGTTCATTTATTTATTACATTTAAATCTTTGCTTGTGTGAAATCTCTTTCAATGAAACTTGTGAGATAGGGATTTGAATTTATTTTTTCCAGTGGGCTACCCTATACTACAATACAATTCTGGATAACCTACCATTGCCCCTTTTTGTTTTTTAGAGTCAGGATCTCACTCCATCACCCAGGCTGGAGTGCAGTGGTGCGATCATAGTGCACTACACCCTCAAGCTCCTGGGCTCAAGTAATTCTCCTACCTCAGCCTCCCAAGTATTAATAGGTAGGACTGCAGGCATGTGCCATCATGCCCAGCTAATTTTTTAAATTTTTGTAGAGACGGGTTTCAAACTCCTGACCTCAAGCAATTTTCCCACCTTTGCCTCAAAGTGTTGGGATGACAGGCGCGAACTACCACACCCTCCCTTCTCCATTGATTTGAAATGCCACCTTATGTATTTGGGTCATTTCTGGATGCTCTATGCTGTCTTATTCAAATGGATTAATTATCATAGCTTTATATTTTATTGGCTTGTTTAGCTATTTCTTTCTCATTACTCTCCTTTTCCAGAATTGTCCTTGCCATTCATTTATGTTTATTTTTCCTTACAAACTTTGGAAGCAACTGACCTAGTTTAAAAAGCACTTTGTTGGTATTTTTATTAAGAATGTATTATTATTATTATTATTTTTGAGATGGAGTTTCGCTTTTGTTGCCTAAGCTTGAGTGCAATGGTGCAATCTCGGCTCACTGCAACCTCCGCCTCCTGGGTTCAAGCCATTCTCCTGTCTCAGCCTCCTGAGTAGCTTGGATTACAGGTGCGCACCACCACGCCCAGCTAATTTTTTGTATTTTTAGTAAAAATGGGATTTCACCATATTAGCCAGGCTGATATCGAACTCCTGACCTCAGGTGATCTGCCCACCTCGGCCTCCCAAAGTGATGGGATTACAGGCGTGAGCCACCACGCCCGGCCAAGAATGTATTATATTTAAAGATTCATTTTGGAAAAATTAATCTCTATATTTTGGCACTGTCCTGTTCGAACACAATAGTATGTTTCCATTTATTCAAATTTTATAGATGATTGTTTACATTATTACATCATTTCATGTGATATTATGTAATAAGAAGCATATATTTGGTTTTCATCCCTGGTTCCTGGCACAGAGCTTCTAAAATTCTCATACTTTCCTAAGTGATTGGGGTGCTGGGTGTCTTTTACTCTAATATTTGGTCATTGACCCCAGTTCTGGTTCCTGACAAAGAGCTCCTAAATCTCTTGGAATTTCCTGGGTGATGGGAGCATCTTTTGTTCTAATCAGGTGACTCTTGATGGGCTCCTGGCTAGCTTCAGGATAGGGGCTGGATGCCAGAAAGACCAAGGCCTGATCAGGAGCTTGGAACCTTGGAACTTTTCACCCCACTGTACATCTTTCAGGAAGGGGAGAGGGGCTGGAGATTGAGTTAATAATTGATCATACCTATGTGATGAAGTCTCCATAAAAATCCACCAAAGGCGGCGTCAGAGATCTTCTGGGCTGGTGAACACATCCATGTGCTGGGGGGATAGCACACCCCAAGTCCACAGAGGGAGAAACTCCTTCACTCCTCCAGGCCCTTCCAGAACTCACCCTATGTCCTCTTCACCTGGCTCATCATTTCTGTCCTTTCAGTATTCTTTAATAAACCAGTAAATGTAAGCAAATGTTTCCCTGAGTTTTGTGAACCATTATAGCAAATTATCAAACCTGAGGAGGGGCTTGTGGCAACCCCCAATGTGTAGCCAGGGCAGACAGAAGTGTGGGCAACCTGGAAATCTGCTACTTGTGATTGGCATCTGAACAGGCAGTCAGTCTTGTGGGACTGAGCCCTCTGATTTGTGGGATCTAAAGCTAATTCTAAGTAGTGTTAGAATTGAATTGAAATGTGGGACACTCAGTAGGTGTCCAGAGAGTTAGAGAATTCGTTGCTGAAAAACCTCCTACATATTTGATGTCAGAAGTGTCCTGTGAGAATCGAGGAAAACAAAGTCTGTTTTCTTTATTTCATTTCATATTTCTTTTTTTATAATCCTAGTCCTTTCTTTGGCATTAATTAGAATAACTTCTCACTTTAACCTTAGGAGAAAGCTAGGAATCCTCATCTATTTGTTCATTAATTTATTCATTCATTCATTCATTATTCATTTATTGTGCAGGAACAATGTGAGGTGCTGAAAACACAAAAGTGAGCAAATTTTACAGTGGCCCCTGCTTCCATACCCAGTGTACAATGTACTGGGTATGTAAACAAACATTGATTTTATTCCCAACCTGGTAGTTATCTCTGTGTCTTCTGGAATGTTTAACATGATCTTTCCTTAGACTTTTTCTTCTTGCTATAGGTTCCCTAAAAAGCATACTCTGAGATAACGATTTGAGTGCAGTAGTTTATTTGGCAAGGAGTGGGAAGATGAGGGAGTGGAAAAGTGGGAAGGAAGAAAACCAATAAGAATGCGTTCATGAGCAGATTTCTGCAGTGAACAACTGGGGCTCAATCCTGCTGGACACCTTCTGAGAAACTTTACAGAATGTACTCTGCACATCAGCCCACCAAGGGTCAAGGAAACTGTTCCTGCCTGTCACTGGTGGAGGGGTGCTGGGAGCATTAACTCCCGGGCACTTCTGGTCTACCTTTCCTGTGGCCAATAGTGCTCCTGCAGCCAGAGAACCTCCCCAGGGGCAGATGTCTGAGGTAGAAATCCAAAGCTGGCAAGGGGCCTACCCATGGAAGATGCCAGTGGTCTCAGAACTGGGCTGAGGGGACATGGGTAGGGCACTGGGGTATCTATTCCAGAGGAAAGGGAGTTATCTTTGGAAGGCATATTTACATACAGTGGGAAGGGGCAGTAATGGGAGAGGAAATCAGACTGTGGAAAGTTAGTGTAGCTCAGAAAACAATCACAATCAATTGGTCAATAGTATTGATTGATCACAATCAACATTCCATTCTGAGTTGTTAATAAATCACATAGCAAAATTGATGATGTCTTTCTGGGCTTTGTATGTTGGTCAGGTTTTCTCTAAGATGCTTTGAAACATGAATTTTTTAAAAAAGATTTTTCGGCCAGGCCCAGTGGCTCACGCCTGTAATCCCAGCACTTTGGGAGGCCGAGGCGGGTGGATCACAAGATCAGAAGTTCGAGACCAACCAGGCTGATATGGTGAAACCCTGTCTCTGCTAAAAAGTACAAAAATTAGCCTGGTGTGGTGGCAGGCACCTGTAATCCCAGCTATTCAGGTGGATGAGGCAGGAGAATCGCTTGAACCCGGGAGGCGGAGGTTGCAGTGAGTCGAGATCTCACCACTGCACTCCAGCCTGGCGACAGAGTGAGACTCCATCTCAAAAAAAAAAAAAAAAAAAAGATTTTTTCAAAATAAGGTTGTAGATTTTTTGGGTCCACTTTGATATTTTTAATGGGAAAAGTGAAAATTGATAGATAACTACAGTGAAAGCTATGTTTGACAATAAGATAATAAGATAACATGGGAGGAGATAGCATAGAAGAAGGCGCACTGGCTTTGGGGTGGATCCTGAGTTTGAATCCTCAGTTTCTCCACTAACTAGCAGTGTGACCTGAGGCAAGTTGCTGATTTGAGCCAGGGTGTTCTTATCTGGAAAATGTAACAATGCTCTCTTCATCAGGTCGCTTTAGTTCTCATTTCCCCAGGAGCAGACGCTGAGAAGAAAGGCTGTCCACCCCCAGGAGTTTGAAAACTTTAAAGGACTGCCTCTGGAAATGTGTATCAGCCCAGGACTATCCCTCCCTCAAGTTTCCTCTAGTAAAATTGCTATTTTTATTTTTATGATTTTTCTTGTTAATAACAAGCTATTGTTAGAATGGCATATTTATTGTTGCTATGGGTTGCTACTTTTTCTTATAAAAAGAATGTGTCTTAAAGGAGATAAGTAGTTTTTCTATATTAATTACATACAAACAAAATACTCTTGGCCAGGCATGGTGGCTCGTGCCTGTAATCCCAGCACTTTGAAGGGCGAGGCTGGCAGATCACTTGAGGTCAGGAGTTTGAGAACAGCCTGGCCAACATGGTGAAATCCTGTCTCTACTAAAAATACAAAAATTAGCCACGAGTGGTGGTGCACACCTGTAATCCCAGTTATTTGGGAGGCTGAGGCAGGAGAATCATTTGAACCCGGGAAGCAGAGGTTTCAGGGAGCTGAGATTGTGCCACTGCACTCCAGCCTGGGTGACAGAGCAAGACTCCGCTCAAACAAACAAAAAAACCTCTGGGAGACAGAATTCGTTCTGGCAGAGTGAGGAATGATGGGAAGACAGAAATGGGAAAACTTATAGCCCCACATAGAGCAGAATCTCACGTGGAATCCAAGGCTTGTCTCTTCACCCCTTCTCCACCTTCCTTTTCTTTTCTTTCTTTCGTTTGTTGGTAATGATTTCTTCTAAATTAAAAAACAAATTCCCTATCTGACGTCTCAGGTGGTTTTTTTGTGACTGTGGAATAGAGTGAGCAAACACTATTTTTAGGAAGCCATTACAAACTTACAGTACAGGACTTTAGCCTGGCCACAAACATCACTTCTTTGGGCTTTGGGAGACTTTTCTGTCTAACCTCCCACAGGCAGGGAGGCCTGTCTTAGTTCAGAAGTTTTAGGTGCGCACACTGTTGACAGTTTCGTGGCTTTGGAATTGTAGACTCGTCCAGAAGCTGGACAGATAACGTGACCGAGGCCACAGCATTATTCCTGGAGCATCTGGGGCTGAGCCATTTGCTGCGTCCCAGCCCAGAGCATAGGTCTCAACTGTGAAATTGTTCGGGTTTTCTGGGTGATAAAATGGGACCCTTTGAGGCTTGGTTTGGGTTGAAGCCCAAAGGCTGAGAGTTAACAAAGAGAGCCAAGTGGCCCCAATTTTATAAAATGAGGTGCTGGATGTTCTGAGCTGGAACTTGCAAATGGATGGGGGTGAGGGGCAGGGCATTTGAAGGTGGAAGTAGGAGGGCAGAGGCCAAATTTTCCTGGAGTTTTCTGATTGCTGTTGCATTTCCCACTGGGGATGGGGAGAGAGAGCTCTGCCCCTAACTTTGGCCAAAGGAGAGGGGCTATAAGAGAGCCACTGGGAGAGCCTCCTCTGTGGTCCTAGAGTGTGGGGGACAGAGTGGACTGGGGTGTGACACATGCCAAATGCGGAGAGGCTGAGGCTACTTGCCTGAGGAGAGAGTGAGACTAGAAGCAAGACAGCAGGAGAAACCGGGCTGCCCTGGGAGCTAACTGCCCTCCACCACCAGCAGCAGCAAGAGTGTGTGTTCCTCAGGAACCAGGAAAAGAACATAGAGGAGCCAGTGCATGGTGTATTCATTTCCTAATGCTGCTATAAAAAAAATTACCACGAAATTTGTGGCTTAAAACCACAGGCATTTATTCCCTCATAGTTCTGGAGGCCAGAAGGCTGAGACACTCCCTTCAGAGGCTCTAAGGCGGAACCCATCCCTTGCCTCTTTGGGCTTCTGGCGCTGCTGGCATTCCTGGGCTGTGGACACATCACTCCTCTCTCTGCCTCCATAGTGACATTGCCTCCTCCTCTTCTGTCTGTGTCAAATCTCTCTGCCTCCCTTTTCTAAGGACACCTGTGATTACATTTAAAGCCTGCCTGGATAATCCAGGATAATCTCCCCTCTTCTGTCTATGTCAAATCTCTCTCTGCCTCTCTCTTATAAGGACACCTGTGATTGCATTTAAAGCCTGCCTGGATAATCCAGGATAATCTCCCCTCTCAAGATCCTTAATCACTTCTGCAGAGTCCCTTTCTGACATGGAACATTCACAGTTTCAGGGATTAGGACGTGGATGTCTTTTGAGGCCATTATTCAGCCTACTGCAGGTAGAGTCCCATCCAAGAGAGTCTGTTCATGGACCAGTGGGTGACCTCAAGGCTCAGAACACCTCACTCATGAAGCAGATGCTTTGACTGCCCAGTGATTTTCACTGCAGCTGCAGAGGACCTTTCTGTGCAAGGCAGACTCCTGCTAACTGTGCCTAACACTAAGGGAAGGCACGGGTTCTGCCTCAGAGACATCCCCGAAGCAGCTGAGAAAGGATGAGGGGGCAGTTAATGCACCCTGGGAGCAATCCTTAAATGACAGGGAAGGGAGCGGGTGGGAAGTGACCCAGCCTACTGTCTTTCAGGCTACTGTCTTTCAGGCAGACAATTCTGGGAGGTTTTCTGCAAACCTTCCAGATCCTGGTAGAATAGGACCCTCATTGCCTACAGCAGTAACTTTAAAACCGCATGCTTTTTTATGGCTTTTCATCCTTCTCTCTTCCTCAATTCTGAGTCCTGCGATCACTTCCCAAATGAGCTACCTATACCCAAATTCTTGTTTCAGGCTGTGCTTTTGGTAGATCCCAAGCAAGGACATAAGGTTCCCAGCATGGAATCCCCAAGAAAGCAGCAAAAGTGCTTCATGGGAGTCGACACAGTGAACTTCTATGCTCAGCGGGCACCTTTATTGGATAACTTATGTGCCAGCTTAGTGAAATCTTTCCTATTCCTTAAACCACCCTCTCACCACCCTCACTCCCTTCAACCATGGAGGAGGCAGAGGCAGGTAGGGTGGGAAGAGGGGAGGAAACAGGGCAGAACTAACCATGTCCCACACTCCTGTCCCCCATCACTCAGGGTCCCAGGCTGAAGCAGGTCCCGGCTGCAGCCTACTTACTGCATTCAGTTCTTTCAACACACGGCATGCATTCATCAGCCCATTTACTCTGCTCGCATCTGCGTTTCTTCTAGAGGCGGAAACTGTTCATCAGCTAGCATCGATACTACGATCCTGCTTTTAAATATCCTCTGCTGACGGTTACACTGTTCTGAAGAAGTAATCAGATGGTTGCATGGCATGTCTATAAAATGAGAAGAAGAATCTTACCTCACAGAATGCCTGGGTGGATGCAGTGAGCTAGCTCCAGGAAAGTGACTGGCACAGAGTAGATGCCCTAATAATGGAGGCTTCTCTCTTCTACAGCACACATTGCAAGCTTCCTGAGGGCAGCTCTTCCTTCCTGGGTCCTTGGCAGAGTGCTTGGGACACTGTAAGTGCTCAGGGAATTGTTTATTGAAGGAAAGGGTGGGAGGGTCAGGAAAGCAGCTCTTAATCATTGCCCCAGATGCTGCCAGTGCCCTGGCCCCATCCCCTCGGGGCTTCTCATTGCTGGGAGGCAAAGCTGCTAACTGCAAGCACCTGCATCCATTTCCCAAGGGCTTTCCCTGTTGGCTCCACCTTCCTACATGGGGGGTGGGAAGTACGGAAAATTAATGTTCCACTTAAAGCACTGCTCAACCAATGACTGTGAGCAGTTGTGAATAAATATCCTGCCCTCATGTCCCTTGGGTGGGATAACCATGAGGTGCGTGCTCTATACCAGAGTTCCCCAGTGGGACTGAGCTCTGGTGACTCACAGTGGTACCTTTTTTTGTGAGACTAGGGTCTCACTTTGTCACCCAGGCTGGAGTGCAGTGGCGTGATCTCAGCTCACTGTAGCCTCAACCTCCTTGACTCAAGTGATCCTCCCACCTCAGCCTCCCAAGTAGCTGGGACTACAGGCATGCACCACCACGCTTGGCTAGTTTTTTACTTTTATTTTTTGTAGAGACAAGGTCTTTCTACATTGCCCAGGCTGGTCTTGAACTCCTGAGCTCAAGTGATCCTCCTGCCTCAGCTTCCCAAATTGTTGAGATTGTAGGTGTGAGCCACTGCGCCCAGCCTGGCAACTTTTTTGATAACTCTCTGTACTGGTTTCCTTCCTTATTTATATTTCTTGAATATAACTTACCAAATAAACTATTTGCATGCAAAAATCCTCGTCTCATGGTCAGCTTCTGGGGGAACCTAAATGAAGACAACCACATGGCTGAAATTTGAAATGTATATGAGGCTTTCTTAAGGGAGGCCCTTTTCTTCGGAACTATGACATTGACTCCTCTTCCTGCTTGGTTTCAGATTTCTGTATAATGTGTGGAAGGGGAGAAAATTATATAATCTTTTTGCCACTCTCATAAATTCATAATTGAGTCACCCTTCTGAAACAAAAGACAGATCAACAAAGGAAAAACAGGTATGCTTAATAATGTATACATGCCGTGTCCATCATGGGGGAGAAAAGTAACTCTGCAAAGTGACTCTCAAAGCATTGGCTGGAAACCTGAGGCTTTAAGCTTTGTTTAAGTAGCATTTTAACAAAAAGCAATGAATTTTAGTGCAGTGACAAGACAAAGGAGAGAACAGTTCCAGTCTCTCAAAGGGGGAAAGCTGTGGGAAGATACTCATGAAGTAAGGTCTGCTCGCAGGTTTCTCTGGTGTCTGCTAGTGCCGTCTCTAGGCTGATAAGTGGCTATCTCCAGTAAGACGGGATTTATGTCCTGCCTTTAGGCAAACAAAGGAGAGGCAGAGAGTCTCCGTACGTCTCAGCTGTCTTTAGCTCACCAATCCTCAATATTTTAGGGACAAATATTTTGGTTTCCTTCAGTGTAAATTACTTGGCCTACCGCAGATTCATTCCAGGCCTGTAACATGCCAGTTCACATCTGCTCTGTGCTGGCTGGGGCAGGTGTCTACTTCCCCAGTTTGCTGGGGCCAGGCCCCAAGGTGGCCTCACAGCTGTTGGAAGAATACAGGTCCTCATATTGCTGAGGAGTCATTGTCCTGGTCTGATTTGCCTGCTATTGTGAAGACAGTGGTTGAGTATTGCTACCTTTCTCCTTGGTTCTCTTAATAGGAGTGAATCTTTTTGGAGACTCTCTCCCAGTGCATCTGCTGTGGGTCAGTGTGTTCTTTTTTTTTTTTCTTTTGAGACAGAGTTTCACTTTTGTCACCCAGGCTGGAGTGCAATGGCATGATCTCGGCCTCACTGCAACCTCCACCTCCCGGATTCAAGCAATTCTCCTGTCTCAGCCTCCCGAGTAGCTGGGATTGCAGGCATCTGCCACCATGCCCAGCTAATTTTTGTATTTTTAGTAGAGATGGGGTTTTCACCATGTTGGCCAGGCTGGTCTTGAACTCCTGACCTCAGGTGATCCACCCGCCTCGACCTCCCAAGTGCTAGAATTACAGGTGTGAGACACTGCCCCCGGCCATGGGTCCATGTGTTCTTGTTGCTAAATGATGTGGGGAACAGTACAAGACAGTGGGAGAGCCTGGAAGAACTTGGAGTAATTTTCAGGTAAAGCTCATTGAAGTTGCTGAAAATGAAACAATGTCAAGGTGACATTCGTGGCCAGACAATTTGTGAAGGTTTATTTTTAATAATGGGAGTTCTGGGTTTTCTAATCACTTACTCGAAGATAGGATAAAATGCAATGTAAAATTAAAATTTGAAAATTCAAAACCATGAATTTTCTAGACCATGAGTCTCCAGTCAGTAACTACCTGACTAGCAGGATGGTTTGGAAGGGTTTTTCCCACACTTTAATACCTAGCCCAGCGCCACCCAGTGCTAAACTAATAAGGGGGTAACTTTGATATTAAAACCCAAAGCTGGGAGCTGGACACACTGGTGTGTGCCTGTAGTCCCAGCTACTCAAGAGGCTGAGGCAGGAGAGTCACTTGAACACAGGAATTCCAATCCAGCCTGGGCCACATAGTGAGACCCCATCTCTAAAGAAAAAAGAAAAACTGGGAAGAAGTAGATGCTCTTTGTGCATAATAAGGCTTAGGGAACACATGAGCATAAGATCGACCATCACAGTTCACGAGAAGTTCAATTTATTTATTTGATACATTCCCATCTAGAGGCCAGTCCATAGTGAGGGCTGCTTTTCTCACTCTCCACTCCAAGGATGCACAATTTCCTGTGTTCCCCCATCCAGCAGCAGAACCCTAGGGCAGAGGATGGCTGACAGCAACCCATGCTAAAGGTCATATCCCCACAGGAGGACCTCAGCCAGGAGCTGAGGCAGAGGAGCTAGGCTTATGGGGACTGTGGGTTCGGGAACGGAAATTGAATGAGGATGGGAGGTGGTTGAGAGGGTCTGGGGTGTGTCTCCCACCCACTGCGTGTCAGGAATGAATCTTGAGACACAGGAGTGGAGCCTGCACCTAGGGTGCCCCAGACAGAGAGTCCCAACCATGCTGGGACTCTGCATCTCTTGGCTCATGTCTCTTGAGCCAAAGCAAAGAACTAAGCATTATTCAAGAGTGTGTGTGTGTGTGTGTGTGTGTGTGCGTGTGTGTAGCGGCCAATGTGAGGGTGTGTGTGTGTTTAGCTAAGGAACAGAGGAGGACATCTCTTCCCCCCTCCACTTACCTTCACACATCTGCATTTCTTCAGTCTGAAAGGTGGGAAGATGAAGAGAGCCAGGCACGCGTCTAACTGGGCTGTCTAATCCTTGTTTTCCAAAACAGGCAGCTCAGGCTTGGGCTGCATTTTTTTTCTGCCAATTTTTGTACTGTAATTTATGTAACCATTGGTAGATTTTTAAACAGTATCTTTTATAGTAGGTTAAATATGGCTGCAAATTCTTTGCTACTTCTCTCACTGAGAGACGGAGTATAATGCCTGACTAACGGAACATGGTGGAAGGGATGTTCTGGAACTTCTGAGGCTTGGTCTTAGCAAAGCTGTGGCTTTTGCCTGTGTCTCTGTGAACATTCTCTGTGGGAATGCTGAGCTACAGTGTAAAAAGCCCAAATGCTCTGTCCACCATGCCAAGAGGCCGCATCTGGGATGTGGGTATACTGGTCAACAGTCACTGCTGAGTGAGTAAACCTGTCTTGGATTCTAGAACAGCCCATCCACTAAGTGACCAGAAGAATCACCTGACCACACCCTGCCCAAATTCCTGACCCACAAAATCTTGAGATAAAATGAAGTGATTGTTGTTTTAAGACCCTAACTTTTGGAGAAGTTTGTTAAGAAGCAAGCAATAACTGGAACCGTAACATAGAGGAAAGAACATCTGTGGTGTTAGATCTGGACTCAAATCACAGCTCCATTATTTATCAGCTACGTGATCTTTTCTAGCTTCTTCTGGCCTCAGTTTCCTCCTGTGTTAAACAGAGGTCATTCTAGCTACCTCCTAGCCTCATCATGAAGATGAAATGAGAAAACAGATGGAAACAGAGCCTGGCTCATAGCAGGTGCTTCAAAATGTTTCTTTCCTCTCTTCTCAGCCTCACCATGCCCTCTTCTCTAGGGCTTTCTGGGATGCCCAGTGAGGGGAATGCAGCAAACTATATAGCACCTCCACTACTCAAGATTTTGGAGAAAAGAATTCCAGGAGAATGTTACTGAGAAAATGACTCTGGACCCCTGCTCCAGAGAAACAAAATTATTTACCTGACTTGCCTTTGAAAAATGGATTTACTTGAAGAGCTACTCCAATTTAATGAAGAATTGGGGGAGGAAATCAAGGGAGTCACAAAAGCAAATTAGATTTTTTTTTTTTTTTTTTTTTTCCTGAGACAGAGTCTCACTCTGTCACCAGGCTAGAGTGCAGTGGTGTGATTTCGGCTCACTGCAGCCTCCGCCTCCTGGGTTCAAGTGATTCTCTTGCCTCAGCCTCCCGAGTAGCTGGGATTATAGGCGCCCGCCACTATGCTCGGCTAATTTTTGTATTTTTAGTAGAGACAGGGTTTCACCATGTTGGCCAGGATGGTCGCGATCTCTTGACCTCATGATCCGCTCGCCTCGGCCTCCCCAAGTGCTGGGATTACAGGTGTGAGCCACTGCACAAAACCAAGAATTAGATTTTTTAAAAAACAGATACCTTGGGCCAGGCTCAGTGGCTCACATCTGTAATCCCAGCACTTTGGGAGCCCAAGCCGGGCAGTTCGTTGGAGGTCAAAAGTTCGAGACCAGCCCGGGCAACATGGTGAAACCCCGTCTCGACTAAAAATACTAAAATTAGGCCAGGTGCAGTGGCTCACGCCTGTAATCCCAGCACTTTGGGAGGCCGAGGTGGGCGGGTCACGAAGTCAGGAGATCGAGACCATCCTGACCAACATGGTGAAACCCCGTCTTTACTAAAAACACACACACAAAAAAGCTGGGTGTGGTGGTGCGCACCGGTAGTCCCAGTTACTCAGGAGGCTGAGGCAGGAGAATCACTTGAACCTGGGAGGTGGAGGTTGCGGTGAGCCAAGACTGGGCCACTGCATTCCAGCCTGGCGACAGAGTGAGACTGTCTCATAAAAAAAAAAAAAAAACAACAAAAATTAGCTGGGTGTGGTGGCGTACACTTGGGAGGCTGAGGCAGCAGAATCATTTAAACCTGGGAGACGGGGGTTGTAGTAAGCCAAGATCGTGACACCGTACTCCAGCCTGGGTGACAGAGAAAGACCCCATCTCAAAAAAAACGAAAACAAAAACAAAACAAACAAAAAAACTAGATATCTTGTAGCCCACAGGCTATCCATTTTTATTCAAAGCATCAGAAGTAAGAAAATGAAGAAGGGCTCTGTGTGCCCATAGAGTGGGTGGGATTTTGCAATAACCGAGAAACATCAGTGGCTTTCAGGCAGGAGGCTCTCTCCCTCCCTCTGTCAGTCATCTCGGAGATGTCCAGAGGCTGCAAGATGCCCAACCATGCACAGAGGTGGTGAGAACCGCTACCGTGGCGGCTCCAGGAGAAGAGGCCCAGAAATGGACATTTGAATGATTGAAACTGCCTAAAGCACTCCTGCTTTCAAAGCTTGCTCCATGTCTCACATTGACATGGAACAATTAGCTGAAATGGGAAACATATCAACTCAGGCTGCCCTCCCTCTTATATTTCAGGCAGTGTTCTACTCTACACAGCAAGTCCCCAAACAGGTCTCCCTTTCTTTCCTGCCTGCAGTCACTCCCAGAAGTTTACCTCTAAGGAGCTCATGTTCATCCAGACTTTGAGGCAGGGCTCACCAATGCTGCCTTCTGCGCTCCCCTCTCTGTTCTCATCCTGGTCCTTAATGTGCTCACATTCCTGACACCTGTGAGATGTCATAGCATGGCTGCCCTCTCCATGACGTCCTGACCTGAGATTTGGATGCTGCCCCTTCCTGCACATTTCTATAAACTAGGCTGCATCCCTGGGAACTGGAACTCCCTAATAAGTCAGGGACATGACCCCCAAATTCTAAACACTTGGACCTCAGAATCCACCACCTGGATTCGTTCCTGGCCAAATAAATGACTGTGGCCAGTATGTGTGTGTGCTATATTTATAAAGCACTTTTGATGTTAGGTTTATTTAAGCTTCACAATTCTTCAGTGAGGTAGGAAATAATCCCATTTTATGGAGGAAAAGCTGAGATTTGGAAAAGTTATCCCCAAAGTTACACAGCTACTAAGGGACAGAGCTGGACTTCAAATCCAAGTTGTTTGATCCCAAACTCAGTGCATGTCCACCATTTCATCCTACCTTTTGATTACGGTTGACATTATAAATTAAATTTTCATGTCCCTAAATTGGATTTTTAAGTAAGCAAGCAAGATCTCTTCCTACCTAAGCACCTAGCACATTAGCTGGAGAACTAACTGCAAAGCGCTGAAGCCACACAGATTGTTACCAACTCAGCTCTCTCCCCAATGGATTTGCCATGAGTTTTTTAAAGGATATTAAAAGTTACCAATTATGGAACTCATTCTAGGTGCCAGGCCCTGTGCCAGTCTCTTTACATCCATTATCCCACTTAATCTTAATATCAGTTGTCTAAGATAGGCATTATTCTTCCCTTTTTGCACACCAGGAAACTGAGGCTCAAGAAGTCAAATATTGGCTGGGTGTGGTGGCTCATGCCTGCAATCCCAGCACTTTTGGAGGATCACTTGAGGTCAGGAGTTTGAGACCAGCCTGGCCAACATGGTGAAACCCCATCTCTACTAAAAATACAAAAATTAGCCGGGCGTGGTGGCAGGCATCTGTAATCCCAGTTATTCAGGAGGCTGAGGCAGGAGAATCACCTGAACCCGGGAGGCAGAGGTTCCAGTGAGTCGAGATCTTGCCACTGCACTCCAGCCTGGGGGACAGAGGGAAATTGCGTCTCAAAAAAAAAAAAGAAGAAGAAAAGTAGAAGACGAAGATGAAGAAGAATAAGAAGAGAGAAAAGAAGAAGAGAAGGTTAGAGAAAAGAAGAGAAGAGAAGGAGAAGGAGAAGGAGGAGGAGAAGGAGAAGGAGAAGAAGAAGAAGAAGAAGAAGAAGAAGAAGAAGAAGTCAAATATCTGGAGAAGAAGAAGAAGAGGAAGAAGAAGAAAAGGAAGAAGAAGAAGAAGAGGAAGAGGAAGAAAGAAGAAGAACAAGAAGAAGAAGAAGTCAAATATCTGGAGAAGAAGAAGAAGAAGAGGAAGAAGAAGAAGAAGAGGAGGAGGAAGAAGGAGAAGGAGAAGGAGAAGGAGAAGGAGAAGGAGAAGGAGAAGAAGAAGAAGAAGAAGAAGAAGAAGAAGAAGAAGAAGAAGAAGAAGAAGAAGAAGAAGAAAATACAAATATCTGGAGCCGGGATTTGAGCCTGGCCCTTGACATATGTCCTAGGCCTCTTACACTCTCCTTACCAGCCCCTGTCCCTTAGGCCTGGGCCCCTGATTTGCCTGTCAGAGAAGCCAGAGAATCTGGGCCTTTTAGCTTTCATCCTAGGAGGCTTGAATAATCTCCTTCTAAGGGGGTACTAAGGGGGACGCCCCAGGGAGAACAGGGTTCTGATGAGGGATGGAGGAGAGGGGTGTGATGCTGTACTGGCTTTGTTCACTAACACAGCTACTAAGGGAGCTTTGAGAGAGGCCTCTCAGTGAAGAGCCCGGGTCAACCCCCATTCCCTCGTTCAGGTACGACATGCCCTGGGAAGCTGTGACTCATTAGGGCTCCAGAGTCTCTCACAGGTCATTCCTATAGGATGTGCTTGTACAAGGTCTATTTGTATATTTGTGTCTTTATCATATTCTGAGGGATCTGGATTTCTGCCTTCTCCAAACTCCCCCTTCTCTTCACCTTAGTTTGTCTGTAGGAGTCAGGAAACCCAGTGCGTCCTCTTGACAGAGGGGAGGTTGTTCTAACAACATGAAAATGGGTGGTCTTTATTCATAACGTGGGACTAGGTCACCAAGATGACAGATTGGTAACAAGGTCTTAGGTGACCAGTTCCCAGCATCCCGCAAAGGGTTTTCTCTACTAAGCAGGAAGTCTGAAGTTGTTTCTCTAGGATGGTCCCCAAGTCTTGTCTGTTTCCCATCACAGCCCTGAGCGGGAAACTGCAGCGGACTCTTGATTTGGATGGGAAACTGTTTATTTAGTGGGGATACCTTGGAGTGAACTGATTCCCGTGAGCAGGTTTTCCTGTGATCCGCATCCTACCCATGGTGATTTCTAAGCAACAAAATCAGCCCAGGAACAATGAGGCCAATCACAAATAAGTCCCAGTGTGGTCCAATGGTGTTGTCCAGTTTCAGCCAGTTCCATCTCGTTGTGAACTGCTGGCAAGAGACATTCTCTCAAAAACAATCCAAGCTTCCCACCTCCACTCAGAGCCACCATCTCTTCCCAAACCCACCACCACCAACCCTCCTCCCACCCATTCCCTTTGCTTCCTTCAGTCTTGGAAGACACAATCTTCGCTTGCTTACATCTTCCACAAGGGGCTTAAATAGCACCTTTAGAATAACCCCAAAGATTTAGACACTTTACTTTTTTTCAAACTGTAGCTGTTTGTGGTATCCCTTGCCACCTGCCGTCTGCCTACCAGTCTCGGCTATTGATGGTAAGAACTGTTTTGAAGAAGTATATATAGCACATGTCACTGTGCTTAAGGCTTTGAATGTAGTGTGTACTGGAAAAGAACATCTGCTGAATGAATTAATTGCTTATACTCTGAAGTGTCAACACATACTCAATAGAACATGCAGAATTACTCTGCATGGCAAGTGTAAGACTCTGAATTTTACTTCTCAAAGGAAAGCCAGTCCACAAGAGACTCCCTGATGGGCCTTGTCACTTTGTCCCTAAGAGTTGCTCACTGGAGACTTTCAGAGATTCAGGACCTGTTCAAGACAAACTTACATTAAAAAACAGGATATCCCGGAGCAAATGCGTAGTTTCCAGTTTCATGACGGCAAAGAGCACAGGTATGTGGGCATCTGGACTCGTTTGAGCAGCCATGTCGTACAATCTTCTGGCCAAGTGAATGTCCTAGAAGGAGAAGAATAGCCCTACCCATCAGATTCTGTAGGGGTAAGTAAACAGACACCATTGTTCACAATATCAAATGTAATTAAGGTTACAGGTCTTAAGATAGGGAGATTATCATGGATTATCCAAGTGGACCTCAGATAATCAAATGAACCTTTAAACAGAGTTATCTCAGGGCTGGGGATGGAAGAAAGAGAGATGTGGTGGAGGGAGACTTCAGATTGATTCTCAGCATGAGGGACTCAACTTGCCATTGTTGGAAGGGGCCACATGGAATGAGAAGGAATTTGGACAGCCAATAAGGAAACAAGAACCTTGGTCCTACAACCTCAATTAACTGAATTCCACCAAACAACCGGAATGAGCCCTGCAGTGGATTCTTCCCCAGAGCCCTCAATAAAGAACAGCCTTGATTTTAGCCTCGTGAAACCCCAAACTGAAGACCCAGTCAGATCACCTGGGCTTTTGGCCTACAGAAACCGTGAGATAATAAGCTTGTGCTGTTTTAGGTCCCCAAATTTGTAGTGATTTGTTACAGCAAGCATAGAAAACTAACACAATCTCCAGAAAGCTTTCTTGGATACCCCTGGAACAGCTCCTAGTTGTGATTCCAACAAATAGGGTGGAGAATAGGGCCAGGCACAGGGGGGTTCACGCCTGTAGTCCCAGTACTTTGGGAGGCCAAGGCAGGTGGATCACTTGAGGCCAGGAGTTCAAGACCAGTCTGGCCAATATGGTGAAACCCTGTCCCTACTAAAAATGCAAAAAGTAGTCAGGTGTGGTGGTGCATGCCTGTAATCCCAGTTATTTGGCACGAGAATTGCTTGAACCCGGGAGGCAGCGGTTGCAGTGAGCCAAGATCATGCCACTGAACTCCAGCCTGGATGACAGAGTGATACTCTGTCTCAAAAGAAAAAAAAAATTGTACAGTTCTCTAAAATAAGTCAGAATACAGGTAGTTAGTAATCATTATCTACAATTCTCATTATCTTCATAGTACTTACCATACCTGAAGTTCTAGAATTTATTTATTCATTTGTTTGTCTCCAGGTCCTCAAAAACAAGGGCTTGGACTGTCTGTTCACCCCTGAATTCCCAGTCCTCAATGAAGTGCCTAGTACGCAGTAGGTCTTTGATAATACTTACAGGATGATGAAGAAACTATTTTTGGCTCTCATGTTGAAGACAGAGTCCTCAAATGATATAGTACTATATTTTCAGGAGCTTTTTTTTTTCATGAATTATGCCATGGCTTTTTTTTTCATCTACTCATGCCTTGTTTTATGTGTTGCTTTATTTTTGGTTTGCCCAAACAGAGTGACCGTAGACAAGGTGGAGCTGCTTTTAAAGGTGAAAGTGCCCTGGGCCAGTCCCAGAATTAGATTTTGCTTGGGTGCCCATGGGCTATTTTCAAAAGAAAGGGAAGAAGAGGAATTTTTCACAAACTGTGGTCATCCTAATATCTGTCTTTCTTGCTCCATTACTTAGGCTTTGATACTTGTGAATCCTTGAGGATGCTGTTAAAACTGTGTTTTTTTGCGGGGGGTGGGGGTGATGTCTTCTCTCAGCTGTGTTCTGCTTATTATAGCTTAAATATTTTCCAAAGCTTTATGGTCTGGTAAATTGATTTGTTGAAGAAAGAGGAAAGTTCTTGCTTAAAATACAATTCAGGAGATTGGAACAAATCTTCCTGGCAACATTAAATAGATGTTGTAAAAACCCTAATTTGTGTCTCTGATTCCAACAAATTCAGTGTTCATTTGAAAGCACCCTGCAGATGATAACAGCTTTCATGCTGCACACGTGAAAGACATATTGACTTGGATGGGACATTCGGGGAAAATCTCAGGCATTCATGCTTATTTCTTGTTTTGAGGCAGTCAATAGTTATTCACTTATGTCTTGCGGTAGAAGCATTACAATTCAGTCATTTAGTATTTTATAGTAAAAAATAGTGAGAAATACCATTAAAGTGGGATGAACTCACTCCTTGTCCAGGAGACCTCACAATTTGCAGTGTGTGTGGGGCTGGGGGGTGATGTGAAAGCCTTTCTTTAAAATTCCCAGAGAAGGAAATTCTTGAATGCTTCTAGCTAACTAGGGCAACTCATAAAAGAAATTTTAGTACTAGACTAGAAAAGACTCCTCATTCTTTGACCCTATTTAGTAAAAAAATCTAAGTCATGCAAACAAAAAAATCTCCTCCAGATGGTGTTTTGAAGATGACCACAGTTCATTAAATGAGAAGTCCACTACATACCCAGTCCACTTAGATTTAACTTTTCTGTGGTACATTTGAGTTTATTTTGCTTTAAATTCAGTGATTAAAGAGGTTATGTAAACCGAGCTGCAGACTCTTGTTAAAAGAACATGTTTTTAACTAAAATGTTATGTGGATACTGCCCAATATTCAGATGTTCAAAATAGCTTCTTTTAATTCAAAGATACAGAATTCTTCTGCAGTAAAATAGCTGGTTTATGAAAATTGTACAATTGCCCGATGCAGGAGTTTTCCAGCCCCAAATCTTTGGATGTCATAAAAAAAATTTCTTATACTGGGACAGAGCATGTGAATGGGAAGGTCGTTTTTGACTAATTTATTCTTATTTTCTTTTTATAAATATATCATATGTTAATTAGAGGGAACTTAGGAAATATAGAACTGAACAAATAAGAAAAAAAGCCACCCACAATCTCACTGTACAGAGATAACTACTGGTAATATTTTATACACATTCTTCTAGCATTTCATGTATATTCACATATACATACTTTTTAATTTAGAAATTTTTTACTCAGCATAATATTACATCTTCTGTTTTCTTAACCTAACAATATATTTCAAATAATATGCAGTGTCCTAATATATTCCGCTAGCCTATAATTTTTTTTTTTTGAAAACAGGGTCTCACCATGTTGCCCAGGCTGGAGTACGGTGGCAGGCTTTTGGCTTACTGCTGCCTCCACCTCCAGGGCTTGAGCGATCCTCCCATCTGGGCTTCCTGAGTAGCTGGGATTACAGGGACTACAAATGTGTGCCACCATGCCAGGCTGATTTTTGTATTTTTTTTTTTTGTAGAGACGGGGTTTCACCATGATGCCCAGGCTAGTCTTGAACTCCTGGACTCAAGTAATCTGCCCACCTTGGCCTCTCAAAGTACTGGGATTACAGGCGTGAGCCACTGTGCCCAGCCTAGTCTACAATATTTTTAACGGTTGCAGAGTATATTGTAATAATGGTTAATATGTATTAAATACTTACTGTGTGCCAGTTACCACTGTCATTTAATCTTCAGGACAATTCTATAGGACAGGTGATACTATTAACTTCACTTTGAAAATGAAGATATTGAGGCACAGAGAGAAAGTCACTTACTCAAATTTATATGACTTGCAAGTGGCAGAGCAGGGATTCAAATCTCAGATTGTCCCTAGGTTGTCTGCTTCTAGTATTCTCACTTAATCACTAGGCCACAAAGTACATTGTGGAATAGTATACCACTATACAATAACGTATATAACATGGCTTCTATTTTGGAGCATTCTCGTTACTTGTAGAAATTTGTTCTGTAACTAATAAAGCTATACACACACAAAATACTGTTTGTGCATATTTCTGATTATTTCCCTAGATGATAGATGTTTATTTCATGAAAAGTTATGATCATTTCTAAGAAATGTGTTTTCTGTCCTGCCATATTTCTGAGAGGGCCATTTTAAATACCTAATTTTAACTTATCCTTTCCAGAAAATAATTCTGGTGTTTAAAGCTTCAGCTGTAACACTCCATGGGTGGTCAGACCAGACCAATGAGAAATAAAAATGCATTGTGTCATAATCATTTTTATTTTTGACAGGTCTATTGATAATTTATTTGGTAGATGTGGTTTTGTTTTCTCTGCAGAATCCAAAAATACATGTTACCTAGTAGGTCTACATATATGTATTTGAAACTCTTCCCCAAAGGATAATTTCCCCCACCTTTCTGCCATACTTTAGAACAGCTTTCCTATCCATTGTCTTTAAACAGGCCTGATTTCTTCCATGTAAAAAGGTTGTCATATGTTTCTCGTACTCCATGGTACAAAAATATTTTTGAACAGGACCTGGCAGTGCTGATTCCCCTACCTGAGTTAGCTGGTAGGTATGTTAAAGAGGTAATCTTTAACATACTTATGGTACTTTATTTTTAATTCTTTTCAAGTGTGCGTGTGCCTATACATGACTGTCATTTTAGGCTTAACTATAGCTATGGACAAGTCTCTTCTGTAGTGGACTGTGAGCTCTTTGAAGGCTGTCTTGTTCTTATTGTATCCACAGAACCAAGCACAGTGCTTCCTGATATAGGAAATAGTCCTTGATAAATATTTGAGTGAATAAATAAATGAATGAAAAGCAGAGTGCAATACCATGATGGTTTAGAAGTAGATATCTTTTAAATCTGGGGGTTCTAGCCAGGTGTGGTGGCTCACGCCTGTAACCCCAGCACTTTGGGAGGCCAAGGAAGGTGGATCACGAGGTCAAGAGATTGAGACCATCCTGGCCAACATGGTGAAACCCCATCTCTACTAAAATACTAAAATTAGCTGGGCATAGTGGTGCGTGCCTGTAGTCCCAGCTCCTTGGGAGGCTGTGGCAGGAGAATTGCTTGAACCTGGGAGGCAGAGGTTGCAGTGACCGAAGATTGCACCACTGCACTCCAGCCTGGTGACAGAGCGAGACTCCGTCTCAAAAAAAAAAAAAAAAAAAAAAAAATCTGGGGTTCCTTGAGGGATTCCTAGAGGAGATGACATTGGAGCTGTTCTTTGAAAAATGGACTAGTCTTCAATGGGCATAAATATGGGGTAAGATCATTCCAGCAAAAGGATGATATCTCAGGAGGGCTCAGGTCAAGGTCTTTGAGGGGAAGGAATAAGTAGCCTAGAATCTATATAGGGCAAAGTGCTATATCACACCACTATTACCAAGGTAGGCTAGGTCACTGGGGGCTTTGAATGTGGAATAGAAGTCTGGACTTCATTTAGCAATAAAAAGTAAATAAGATTCTTTTTATTTGTATGTTTGCTTGTTTGTATTTTTTGGCGGTTTTATTTGGGGGAGAGGGTAGGATAGAGGGGTGGGTAGGACGGAGGAGGTAAAGGTTATACTTTATCAAGAATGACCTGTCAGTGCTTTGTTAGATGAATTATTTATTAAGATAATGCTATCTGTAACAAATCCCCAAATTTTAATGGCTTAACACAATAGAAGTTTATTTCTCCCCCATTCAGCATTCCAAAGCGTATGTTCCTGGTTGGTGGTGAATTTTTTTCATGTGGTAATTGTGGGGCCAAACTCCTTCCATCACCTGGTTTTGGGGTCCCCTAAAGCCTTTGTATCTCCTGGCGCCTTCAGCCAATGGATGGGAAAGAGACTGGGGGCAGCCACATCTACTTCTTGGCTGCCTTAGCCCAGAAATGACACCCTTCACTTTCACTTCCACTTCCACGCCCTTGCGAGAGCTAGCAGGTGGATCCAAAGGAGGCTGGAGAACATAGTCTTTGACTAGGCAGGTGCACCCCAGCTACAAGTCCTCACTATGGATGGGGGATTGCAAATCTTTGGTGAACAGAGTCATCTCGGTCACAGATTTAAAGGGAGAACACTAGAATTGAAGACCCCTGAGTAGTCTTTACTACAAGCTGAGGTGAGCAGAAAGTCAGACCTGAGCCAAGGTACAGACAGAAAGGATGGCCAGGAGGGGATGGGCAACAGGCTTTGTTCATGGTGCAATTTCCGAAGTACTTACAAATCAAGTATCAACTGAAAAACTGTTTCTTTGTTTTTTGGGGTTTTTTTTTTTAAGAGGGAACCTCGCTCTGTCACCCAGGCTGGATCTTGGCTCACTGCAACCTCTGCCTTCGGGGTTCAAGCTATTCTCGTGCCTCAGCTTCCCAAGTAGCTGGGACAATAGGCACATGCTACCTTGCCCGGTTAATTTTTGCATTTTTAGTAGAGACAAGATTTTGCCATGTTAGCCTGGCTGGTCTCAAACTCCTGACCTCAAGTGATCTGCCCACCTCGGCCTCCCAGTGTGCTGGGATCACAGGCGTGAGCCACCATGCCTGGCCCTCTGAGAAACAGTTTCATAACAACTTGTGTGTGAATGCTTGTGTTTCTGAACTACTTCAGGTCCTCTCCCAGTTCCTCCCCAGGCATTATTCAGTGTTCTCAGAACAATGATGCAGTCACTCCCATTATTCATTGTTCCCAGAACAATGATGCAGTCAGTGAGACAAGGAGCTCACTGGCTGAGACGCTTCTCAGTGAAGCTACTAGGATAGCTCACCTGCATCATCGCAGCCCCAACTTCCTTTTTGAAAGACAGATGATAAAAATAATGACCCATATTTTAATATTGATTTACCAAGAGATGATTTATACCTTTCTTCCCCAGAGGTCTTAAATGTCTGCATGTTTATAAAGCATTATTCCATATCACCTTCTTTGATTCTCAAAGACACTGTGATAGTGGTATTATACTCATCTTTCTCACTAGTTTGCATGAGGATTAACTAATAAAGAGGATTGCAAAGTGCCTCATTGAAGAAATGCTTAATTACTTGATGACTTAACTGCTGGGAAGGCCTATTCTCCTACTCTCTTTGCTTTCATTAGAACAAGCTTTGGGCTTTTAATTATCAGGATATTCATTTTAAGAATTAGAGAAGGTGATAGCACCTTGTAAATTTGACTCTGAGATGGCAAGATACCTCTGGATACTCAGTTATTATTTTTGTAATTGCTAAACAAAAGAAACCAAATAAAAACAAAGGGCAATGGTCCCTCATTAGCTCAGCCTAAAATTCTCATATCCAAGTGGGAGGTTAAGAGTAGTCCCTGATTTTTTTTTTTTTTTAATGTAGAGACTTTCTGTAGGAAAAAAAAAATAGACTTGTGACTGAAAGAGACTGCTCAAAATGAACTACCCATGATTTAACAAGAACCCTGGTAGAAAAGAACAGAAAACTGGCCAGAGAGAAACTTAAGTGTTTTCCTGAATGTATGAAACGTGTGTCTCAACAACTACTATTTGACATTGTGAAGGAAGTGCTTAGGAAACAGATCAGTGGTGACTCCAAAGAGGAAAACCAAACCCTCTGACAGTCCGCCAGCTGGGCACTGGCCAGCAGTGTGCCTTTCCCAGCATTGCTGGCTCTGTGTCCTGAGAGGACACCTGCCTGTCCCCAGGGACTCAGGCAAAATGGCCTCACCTAGGTGCGAATACAGCTGTCAGGGCAACCAAGTCCTTTTTGAATAACATGGTGGTGCCAAGGATAGGAAAGCTAACATGAATTTAACACATGGAGTGGGGTCACTTTATCCCTTCTATAGACAGTGCTTCTCCCATATTATTATGTTTTGCATGAGGAATGATGAGTAGAGAAAGGCTTTAATCTTATTGAAGCCTTACTTAGCAGTTGCTCTAATTCCCTTCTGATCTAAATAGCAGTCATTCTACATACTGTTTGACTACAAAGCCCTTTCATAAAATCTTATTCATTTTATTCTTAATGCCTGGGGCAGGGCAGATATCTGTTTTACTGAGGTGGATAATGGGTGAGGGGCCCAGGGATGGCTAAATAACATCCCAAGAATTATCCAATTTAGCTATCCATCCTGTCCCATTCTTACCCACATTTTACAAACATGGGAAGCTTACACTGCTAGAAATGGGGCAAACAGACTGGATTTGGATTTGACATTCTTTCCACTGCTTAGGGTGCCAGGGCTAATGAAAAATGATCAGCCAAAAGGCAGGCTGCAGGGGAGGACAGGATGGCAGGGATCCATACCGCTGAATAAGAAGCCCTTGGCTTCACTGTGCACCACTAGCAGTTCTCAAATAGGAAATTCCCTACCAATAATTCTCAATTACTAGCACAACCGGAAGAAAGAAGAGCGCATAGGAAAGCCGATAATTCCCACGTTATTTGGCTCTAGAAACGCAGCCAGGAATGAAAAGCTCACATGCTTGACCACCAAGAATGACTCACTGCGAGGCCCACTCTTTCACCAAAAAACAGGGTCAGATAGGGCTGGGTTCAAATTCTGGCTCCACCATTGACGAGCTCCGCAAGCTGGTTGGCCAAATGACATAACCTCTCTGCGCTGTGGCTTCCTGATGCATACACAGTGGATAGTTCTAGGGCTTATCTCGTTGAGTGGTTGTGTGATGTAAATGACAGAAACGCATAGCCCACTTAACCCAATGCCTGGCTATTATTATCGTTATTGATACTGAATACATCTTTCTCACTCTGTGACACCCTGATGTCATCTTCTGCCTTAATTACTCACTGTCTAAGAGATTTACTCAATACCACCTTGCAGTGCTGGCTGTTTTTCTAAGTGAATATGACTCATCGCCTCAAGTCAAGTGTAGTCTTGGGGGACTGGAGATTCACTCTCTTTGGCCTTTCTAGAGTATCCAGCACTGGGTCATGTACACAGTAGGTGCTTCATAAGACTTTTCTGGATTAATACCACCTTGGTATCCAGCTCTGGTCTCTTTTCACTTTCTCCTTGTTCCTGAGAGCTTGAGAACCAGTGGAAATTTTAATGGAAAGAAAGGCCCAGAGGTGAAGGAAAATGGAGACAGGGCCTACTGGAAAAAGCATGTGCTGCAAAAAGCAGGAACTTACTAGTTGAATTGGCCTAGACTAGATCTCTTCTACTCACCAGTTATGTCCTTGGCATAAATGGAGAAAATAACTTCTATCTCATAAGGTTCATATTAGGGTAAGTAATATGTATTGGCACAAGGGATGGATTTGGCAAATGTTAAGTCCTCTCCTTCCTTCCTCTACATTGATGACATCAATGAAATTCAAAACATTTACACATTCTGTCTTCTCACACAGCTGTCATTACTAGGTTTGAATTATTACCAGCAAAATTACCTTTGTGATGCCTAAGCCGTGTTCATACATATAAGCCAGATTGAACATGGCTTGCGCGTTGTGGTATTTGTTGGCTGCAATGCTGTAGTGTGTGGCTGCTGTTTGATAGTCTTTCTTAGTCCCATAGCCATAGTAATGGTAATCTCCAATTTTTACTCTAGCAAATGCATTGCCTGATAGAAATATTAGAGAAAAAAGAATCATAACTCAAATGATTCATGTATAGTTCTCAGGAATTCAACCTAGTAATCTTGTTTCAGTCCTTTAAAATATATATGTATCTATAGCCAAGTATAAAAAGGAACCAAAAACACTCAGAACCCCAGAACTGGAATTAGATATACTTTATGGAATACAAATATAACACTCAATGCTAACTGTTTTCATTATAGCGTAACATCCATGGTATAGTATGCATGTTTTGTTGTTGTTGTTGTTTGTTTGTTTGTTTGTTTTGAGACAGAGTTTCACTCTTGTCACCCAGGCTGGCAGGCTGGAGTGCAATGGCACATTCTGCAACCTCTGCCTCTCAGGTTCAAGCGATTCTCCTGCCTCAATCTCCCAAGTAGCTGGGATTCCAGGCGCCCGCCACCATGCCCGGCTAACTTTTTTTTGCATTTTTAGTAGAGACAGGGTTTCACCATGTTGGCCAGGCTGGTCTTGAACTCCTGACCTCAGGTGATCCACCCGCCTTGGCCTCCCAAAGTGCTGGGATTACAGGCGTGAGCCTCCGCGCCCGGCCAAATGTTCTTAAAGAACAAAAACTTACCAATTTTACCTTTTAATTTTTTTAAGTAGATTAACTCTTGGGAAGTTGGACCCCATCCCTCCCATTCTCAGACGTCACTCCTGAAGCTCTGCTCTCCTGCGTCAACAGTGTCGCCCTCTTTCCCAGATCAATCCTGTCCGCCATTCAAACACGCTCTGGCATCTTCTATGAACAAAAATAAACCCTCTCTTTATCCTGTGGTGTCTCCTTCTAGCTCATGCCCCATTTCTCTGTTCCCCTTTACACTGAACCTTTTCAAAAGTGTGTTCTATACTCACTGTCTCCAAAGCTTCACCTCCCATGGACTCTTCAACCCACTCCAAACTGGCTTCTGCCCCCTTGCCCGTGAAGCTGCTATTTTGAAGGTGGTAGATGACCTCCATGCAGCCAAATCCATTGCCACATCTCTGGCCTCATCTTACCCGACGTCTGAGCAGCACTGGAGTGATGGGCCCCATCTGCCCAAGCACTGTCCTGTCGCAGCATTGATGGCACTGCCTTCTCTTGGTTTCCCTTCTACTGCATGGGCTCTTTATTTCAAACTCTTGTCTGACTCCTCTGCCCACTTCCTAAATGTGGAATGTCAACGGCTCGCTCCCAACTCCTTTTTTTCTCTTTCTTCTTTTCCCTCTTTTCTCTTCTCTCACCTCTCCTCCCCGCCTCTCTCCAACAATCTGCTCCATCTCAACTCTTTCTCTGGGTGACCTTGTTTCGTTCCATTGCCTGTCTTTATTAACTATTTCTAAATTTATATCTACTATCTCTCTCTCCCTGAGGCCCAGGCTCTTATAATTGCCTCTTGATGTCTCCACTTGGATTTCAAACTTAAAATGCCCAACAGAGATTTCCTAGCACCCTACACCCGTTCCTCCAAACAAAATCATCAGTTTCTTCCCTGTCTCAGTACAGCACCCCCATTGTTCAGGCCATAAGTCTAGGGGAATTATTCCTAGTTCTTTTTCCCTCGCCTCCATCAGCCAATTCATCAAGTCCTGTTGGTTCTGCCTCTAAAACACGCTTAACTCCTGATATCTCCTCCACTGCCTATTCCAGCCTACAATACTACAATAGGCTTCAAACCCTTCTTTTATCTTCACTTTCCAACCCGTTCTTCACACAACAGCCAGGATGATCTTTTTTTTTATTTTTATTTATTTATTTTTGAGACAGGGCCTGGATTTGTCGCCTAGGCTGTAGTGCAATGGCATGATCTCAGCTCACTGCAACCTCAGCCTCCCAAGCTCAAGCGATCATCCTACCCCAGTCTCCTGAGTAGCTAGGACTACAGGCATGCACCAACATGCCCGTATTCACCATATTGCTCTGGCTTGTCTCGAAATCCTGGGCTCAAGCGATCCTCCCAATTCAGCCTCCCAAAGTGCTGGGATTACAGGTGTGACGCACCCAGCCAGCATGATATATATATATGTATAATATATGTATATGTTATATATAGTATATATGTAACAGTTTTATTGAGATACAATTCACATACCATCCAATTTACCCATTTAAAGGGTACAGTCAAATGGTTTTTCATATATTCACAGAGATGTACAAGCATTACCACAATTTTAGAATATTTTAATCGCTCTGAAGAGAAACCTCATATTGTTTAGCTAGAGGATGATCTTTTTAAAATGTAAAATCAAGTTATGTTATTTCCTTGTGTAAAATCCTCCAATGACTTTGCTTTGCCCTTGGAATAATAGTCAGACTCCTTACGACCTACAAGTTATGCCTCACCTGCCCTCTGCACAAGATCCCTGCATTCGATTCCTCAAGGCCCTCTACCTGGCAGGTTTGGAACACTCTGACTCTTCCCGTGGCTGGCTTCTCGTCATTCTCAGAAGCGCCAATGCCACTTCTCTCCTAGAGGCCGTCTCCGACTACCTTGTCTAAAGTGCTCCTCAGCCCCCACCCCAGAAGTTATCTACCTCATCTCCATGTTTTATTTCCTTCACAGCATGTCACTGTCATCTGATTTGCTTACTAGTTTATTTTCTCTCTTCCATATGAGGGCAGGTACTTCATGAGGACAAGCACCTTGAACTCTTAATCACTGACACAATCCCAGAACCCGGAATGGTACTTGATAAATACATATAGAATGAATGGATGGACATGCAAGGAAACTTTTTAGATAATGCTTTCCCTAGATATCAAGTACTTTAGAATATGACTGTCCAACAAACATGAATATGTCAAGTAGAAAAAACTCATGTGACTTTTTAAGATCTGAGACTTCAGTCTTTGAAGTCCACTTAGGGATGACCCTTAAGGGTCCCCTTGGGGTCTATGTTCCCATCCACAAAGAGAGTGTTGATTGGAAAGATGAAGGAACACTCATCTAGGACATCCATCTCAGCTGTGGCCAGCCCTTCTAGCATGGTCTCGGCTTACTCAGAAAAAGAGGAAGTGCCCTGTATGAGCTCAGGTCTAGCATTAAGTGATATAGGACTCCTTCCAAAATTTTCTCATTTGGCCCTAATGTAGTGCATAACATCCTTTGGAATTTATTCCTTTAGGTACCGAAGTTCTAATCTTCTAGAATCTTCTATTAAAATGTAGACACTTCAAAAAGATGTAATACCATGAGCCTTCTTTAAGTCTCTCTGAGTACAGCTAACACTATAAAATTTTTATTATTATTATTTATTATTATTATTATTTTTGAGACAGAATCTCACTCTGTTGCCCAGGCTGGAGTGCAGTGATGTGATCACGGCTCACTGCAGCCTCAATCTCCCGGGCTCAAGAGATCCTCCTGCCTCAGCCCCTTGAGTAGCTAGAACTACAGGTGCACACCACCACACCCAACTAATTTTTTTTATCTTTTATTTTTTTGTAGAGATGAGGTCTCACTATGTTGCCCAGCCTGGTCTTGAACTATTGGTCTCAAGCAATTCTCCCACCTCGGTCTCCCAAAGTGCTAGGATTACAGGCATGAACCACTGCACCTGGTCTATAAAATTCTTAGCTGGCAAAGACATTAGTTATCAGGGCTTGCTTTCCAGATGCTTCCAAATGTACAGGTCAGTAACTGGGAGCAAGAACTTATAAGAATGGTGCCCAGAAAAGAGGCCCAAGGGAGTCTGAAGAAGCAGGAGGTCCAATGGAGCTCTAAAGAGAAACCTATTCCATCTCTAATTTTGCCCAAAGCTGCCTTCCTTTGACCCTAAGATTCCTCCTGGGCTATAACCACAAAGAGATAGGACAATTCTGTGCATTGTCAAGTTGTACAGGCAGTAAGCAGGATCCCTGAAGCCTCTAAGAATGGAAGGCAGTGAACAAGCTGGTTCTTGGGGGAATTCAGCTCCACCCTAATAAGGGGGCTGACTGGCAGCATGTGGTGAGCCAGACAGGCTCCTGTGGGGATCAACTGACAGTGGAGGGATTTCCACTTCGATTTCACAGTCACAGGGCAGTGACTGAGTCCTGATGGTTCAGCACCCTCTTTACATGAGTAACTGCTAAAAGGAGTATGGCCAGTGACTAATTGGAAAATTTCATTATTAGATTCCCTAGTCCCAAGTGAGCCACTCAGTAGCCATATCTTCAGGGACACTTATACCTGACCTCTCTTAGGACACATGATTATTTTTAGCAGCCTGACTTTTTTATATTGAGGAATTCAGTTTAATATCAATGTACTAGCTGGGCGATGGTATAGGCTGATGCCTGTAATCCAAGCACTTTGGGAAGCCGAGGCAGGCAGATCACGAGGTCAAGAGATCAAGACTATCCTGGTCCACATGGTGAAATCCCGTCTCTACTAAAAATACAAAAATTACCTGGGTGTGGTGGCGCATGCCTGTAGTCCCAGCTACTTGGTAGGCTGAGGCAGGAGAATCACTTGAACCCAGGAGGCGGAGGTTGCAGTGAGCCTAGATTGTGCCACTGCACCCCAGCCTGGAGACAGAGCAAGACTCCATCTCAAAAAAAAAAAAAAAGAAAAAGATAAAGAAAAAAATATATATGTATATATCTCAATGTACCCTTGTTTTCAATGTCTCTTTTCCTTGCTGCAATTTCCACACCATTTCCTGGCTTGGAATAAACCCACATTTGTTGTAATTGAGCTGACTGGCCATGGCTGAGAGATTGCGGGTATTGTTTCCCCACTCTAAATAAGGTCTTCATTGCATTTTATAAAACATAGACTTTTTAAGGGGAATGTCTCACTAAAATTGCATTGATGGCTGTTGCTGTGCTACCGGCTCAGCTGGATATGAGAAAGCACCACTGTGACTTTTTCCTATGCTTCATATTAGTGTCAGCTGAGAATCATTTTTTATCCTATTCACTTCCTGTGAAAAGGGATGATTTGGCCTTAGCATAAGACAATTTTAAGAAACCTAATTGGAAGCAAAATTGCTCTCTTATTGCAAGAGAGTTTTCACATATCCAAATGCCAATGGTGACAGCTTTGCAGTATTTCTCTGCTTTTAATAATATAATTTTAGGGGAAAAATAGTAAGAGACATCGCAATGCAATGAAAATACCACCTGCCAATGCTTTTCCCACCACTGGTATCTTATATTCCTTATCCATGTGATGCCAGCAAGCGAGACATGGAAACTCGAGGAAAAGCGAGAGGATCCTGCCATGTATCTGTTTTGTTTTGGTTTGGTTTTTTATTCTTACATGCTAATGATTGTAGTAAAGATCTGAAGTTTATGGTAGTCATCAATGTGATATTTTAATAGAGAAATCACATGAGCCTTAGATACATACATAACTAATTTTGCTTGTAAACTCATTGAGACATGGGTCATGTCTCTGATTAGTTCAGTCAAGATCTCAGCAATGAATGAGTGAAGCCAGACCAAGAAAACTGGTTTTTTGAGTAAAATTGTATATTTCAAAGAACTGTTCTGGTGTCACGGAGACAGAGCCATAGAAAAATTCCTATGGCTTGCTGAATCAGGGACCTTGATAATAATGGGGAAAATAAATTCCTGGAAATGATCTCTCACCAAAGACTGACCCTAACATCAGTATAGTTTGAAATGTCACCTACTTGATATTCTACCCTTTGCTGCCTATGTGCACAAACACGCAGCTACAGCAAACGTGATGAATAACAGAGGACAGGGACCGGGTATGTGCTTATTTTTATCTGGGTTCCATACCTTGAATGGCAGCTCGATTCCATAGGAGAAGCGCCATTGGATACATCTTCTCTTTTTCAAGAATGTTAGCCTTTTCTAAAAAGAGGAGACATTCCATTAGGAAGGCTTAAAATGCCTCTGTAGTAAAGTCATACATGCATATGTATGATTGGGGGATTGCAGAGAATTTTAACTCATCTTACTAGATTCCAAAATGAATGCTGAATTGCTTTGAGCTACTTCATACCCCATTTCTGCAAGCAGTGCATACTGAACAAGAGAAGAATCTATATCACCATCCTTATAGGCAAAGTAAGCTGTCAGGAATTTCTCAGCCCAGTGGCCTAGTTCACAGACACCTTTATAAAGCTGTACATGAGAGGAGAAATCAAGGAGACTAGTTAGCCAGTATGCTTCACCCCAGGCAAATGAGAAAGGAAATCAGTCTTCAGCTCCTACCAGCTGGTCAGGGAAGGATTTTAGGTCTAAAACATGGCTTTTGCAAATTATTTAGGGTAAAGAGTTAATACCTTTTATAGGCACAAAGATCAGAAGTGTTTGGGTTTGTTTTGTTTTGTTTTTGTCTTGAGGGAAACTTCCTCAGCCTTATTTTAAATTTGTATAATAAACTTTCCTGACTTGGAGGCTATTTGGAAGAATAAGAATGTATCGCTAGTGTGTGTGTCTGTGTGTGTGTGTGTGTGTGTGTGTGTTCTTAAAGGGACTTTCTGAGCACTGCTGCTCTGCGAGGGCAAGTTATAAGGCCACAGCTGATGTGAAAAGGAGAGAATGAAGGAAAGACAGTGCCGGAGGGTGTAGGTGACATAACTGTGAGAGAGGTGTGCAGAGCCCTAGGGGGACAAATGTCAACTTAGCTGAATAGCCCTTATGTAACCAAAAGAGGTTAGCCATACATAATTCATTAGGAAGTTGGCAAAGGAGCAAATCTAAAGATAGATCATTAGCTGGCAGCTTTTGAAATAAGCTTCAGAGGGGCCAGATTGCAACATAGAGTATTTATGCTGGTGTAGCAGACGTGTTTAATAAATCAATGAAGGACATTAAGGTCCTAAAAGCATTCTTTTGGAAAGCGCATCACTGGCTCAGGCTGAAAGAATTCACTTTCTCAATTGTCATCCAAATCATCAAAAACCTAAGGATGCTGCTTTCTGGGAAGAAGTGGGCTACATTTTCTAGGCTAAATCTAGCCTTTTGGTTCCCAAGTAGCAACTCCCAATCCCACTAGAAGTGCCAAATTGCCCTGGTGATTTGATTGAATGCTGAAACAGAGCTCCTTAACTGCATGTTGAGGTGAGCTCTGAACCTGATGAAAAGCCAAATGTCAGAGAGAGGAGAGATCTTTTCTCTGTCTCCCTTCCCCAACCTGAGTTACATCACTGCTTTTCCCCTCTGACAAATGTCAGTATTCACATTGTCAACTGGAAGAAAAGAGGTAATATTTATAAAATCAAAGACACCAACAATTTAAGAACAGTATCACCTCCTCTGTGTCATATATGACAAGTGCTTTAAAAACAGCCGCATATTATATTTACCTCCACAGCAGTTCTGCATGATCTTACTACTCCTGTTCCTGTTGCATACATCTTGGCCAGATAATAAATGGCAAGGGGCTGCCCACTCTGAGATGCCAGGTAAAAATATTTGAAGGCAAGTTTATAATCCTTCCATATTCCAGAGCCAGCTGAAAATTAAAATTGTTTTGAGCCACCCCTTATTGACTTTATTTTTTATATTATAATCTATGGATATAATAGTCATAGTGATGCCTGCTATTTAAATAGAATGGGAAAAGCCAACCAAAAGTCAAGCTACTCTAAATCCACTATTTGTGAAGGTGGGGGTGAACACTGAGTTTGGTTCTAAGTAAGAATATGGAAATTTATATTCTTGAGCCATTCTGAAAAAAAAATTGAGAAAGAAGGACTACTTCGTCTTATGAAAGTATCTCCTCACTATGGCATAACTAAAATTAATGCAAAGGAGACCAAGTGATGGTCTCTGAGGACCCGAAGCGCCACCATGATTTATCTCGCCATCTTTGTGATCCTTCCATATCAGGACACCCATATAGCTTCTCCCAGCCATGACTATGGCGTATGCAGCAGGTAAATCCCAGCTCCAAGAAGCCGAACTCTCACCAAACTCCTGCTTAGAGCAAGAATAGGCACTTGAAGCTAGAGCAGAGAACCAGCAGACTCCCAGCAGCCAAGATTCTTGTCCTGGCTCTCTCATTAGTTCTTTTGTGACTTGGGCCATTTAGGCACTTTATTTGCAAAAGTGAAGGCTTTCCTTAGATGGTCTTTAAGTTATCTTCCAGCTCTAACACTGGAGCCTTTAGAAGCAGTGCCATGTAGCGATTAAGAGCAAAAGCTCTGGAGGCAAATTGCTTGAATTTGAATTCCAGCTCCACAACTGTGTGATCCTGGGCAAGATGTCCAACCACAACATTGGCTTAGTTTGCTCATCACAGTGGATACACTGTGGGATACCCGGTAGATGTTGAGAGGGTCAAATGAGTTGAGAGGGTCAAATGAGTTAAAACATACGAAATGAGTTAAAACATACGAAGACTTAATATACATTAGCCATGACTATTTTTCTTATTCTAGAAACTTGGGAAATCTGGTAGATCCCAAGCCAAGGACTTGGAATGAACTAGAAGAACAAGGCCATCTTAGGCAACCTCAACCCCCCAAGATAGTACAAAACAGGTGCTCCTGCTGGGCCACCGTGGAAAATGCCAGTGACCCCTTGACCGGATGTGACCTCCTTGATGATGTGGTCTGCTGCTGCCCTGGCTCCTCCTCTGACATGAAGGACTTGGTGGGGATACTCAGGTATGTTCATATCTCCTGGTATTTGTCTTGGCCACTTCCTCTCTCACTCCCCACAGAGATTGTTACAAACTTTCATGGCTTTCTAAGACCTCCTAGCCAACCACTCTACCTTTGCTCACAGAAGTCAACTTTGTACCTACTAGATCATTGAAGAAAACTTCATATTGTCTTTCCTCACTCACCTCTCTCCCCATCCCATTCCCCCATACTTAGATTCGCATCATCCTTTCCACCCTCTCTCCAGTCTTTGAGGGTAAGCAATCCTGTCTATCTATCACGGTTAAAGAGGCTTCCACTGATCTGTGCCTAATCAGGTGCTAATACCACCAATGTTTTTCAGAATCTCTTTCCATCAATTATAATTATGCTCAGGTCTCTTCATCTTAAAAGTAACTCCCTCTGGGTCCTAGTCCCCCTGATGCTGAGTTCCTTCTCTTTCCTTCCCTTTAAGGGCATGCTGCTTGCAAGAATACTTTTATTTCTCAACTTCCTGATCTTCCGTTCATGCCGTTGGCATGCGGCTTCCACCCCAAGCAGTCCAATGACCTCACCCACAGTCTCTGTATTGCCAAGTCTCATACATATTTCATTCTTTCTTACTTTTTTTTTTTTTTTTTGAGATGGAGTCTCACTCTGTTGCCCATGTTGGAATGCAGTGGCGTGATCTAGGCTCACTGCAACCTCCACCTCCTGGGTTCAAGCAATTTGATTCTGCCTCAGCCTCCCGAGTAGCTGGGACTACAGGCAGCCGCCACCATGCCAGGCTAATTTTTGTATTTTTAGTAGACACGGGGTTTCACCATATTGGCCAGGCTGGTCTCGAATTCGTGATCCGCCCGCCTCGGCCTCCCAAAGTGCTAGGATTACAGGCGTGAGCCACCACGCCCGGCCTCTTACTTGTTTTTTAAACCAGGTTTCTCACTGCATTTCACAGGGGTGCCCATTCATTTACTCTTCCTTGAAAGTTCTTCCCTTGGCTCCATTAAGATCTTTTTTTTTTTTTGTTCCCTATTCCGCTGAGCTTGGCTTTCCATTCTTCTCAGTGATGTACTTCCCCTGCCTACCCTTCAATACAGCACGGAGGATCACTAGTTATCTACCATGGCCCACTGCTCTTTCCTCTCACCCTCTTGCTCCTTTCCTTTTGCAACCTCAACTACTCTTAACTAATAGCTGCGTGCTGATGCCTCTCGAACCTTCTCTGTAAGTTTGACCTTTCTCGTGAGTGTCGTACTTGCTTCTGGGGATGTGCACGGGATATCGCTAGCACCTCCAACTTAACCTTGTCAAAGATAAGCTTCCTGACTCTGCACCTCCTTGTCCCCCCTCCCAACCAGTGTCCTTTTCTTTAGGCTTTTTCAAATTCTTATTTAATTTGTTGCCTAAATGTTCTGTCTAAACCACTCACACCAAACCTTTGATGTTTGTTATAAAAGAAGCAGACTTAATAATGCATATGTCATTCTAAATAAAGCAGCTGTATTTGTGGCACTTACAGTAGTACATGAAGCCTAACTGGAACTGTGCGTCGGGCCACCCTTTTTCCGCAGCTTTCTGAAAGTATTTAAGTGCTTCGGCATAATTCTGCAAGATAATTACACTCTATTACTCAAAGGCACAAGTAAAACTCCATGGAAACAATTGCCTTCCACTTCTTAAAAAGAGTATAGACAGTGCCCTATGTGATTTAGGGTAATTAAAATAGTATCAGAAACATTATATATTTTATTTCATTATTATATTAGACTCTATTAGGAAATAATGCCTCATTTTCATCATAATTATGTCTTTTTCTACATTGACAGTAAGTTTTGTTAGATATTGGGGGAAGGTCACTCAAAAGACTATGAAGATAAATTTCTCCATCAATAAAGTCCTCAGAGGATAGATGATTTCTAAGGTTACTTAGAATCTATGATTCTAAGCTATAATTAGAATTACTATTCTTGTCACAAGCTTGTTCTTCAGTGTCTCTTTGGCAGAGATTTCACTGGATTATTTTATTCTCTATTATCTGATATCACAGTTTGGCAAACCAGATAATAGAGATAAATTCCTTTAAACTAATGAATGACCATGAATTTTACCCTGTAAATTGCTACAAATAAAAAGATAATAAAATAATTTAACTTACCAGGGGAACTCCTTTTCCATGAAAGTAAAGAAGACCAAGCCCATGAAGGCCGATTGCATTGCCCTAGAAGAGTTTTATAAAGCCAAGTAAAGTCCCAGAAGAATTCATGATAAGGAAAATTACTGCAAAATTTTTCAAAATATTTGACATGCACCCAGTAAGAGATTAATCAAGGCAGTTGGCAGGTTATTCTGACCCACTCTAGTTCCTCCTTTTATACTTTCATAAACCTTCTGGCTAGAAAAGGGAAGAGGGAAACAGAAGTCAAACCTTTCCTCCATTCTTGTATTCAACACTTATTTAGGACTTGTTTTGTGTATGATTCCATAGTAGGCACTGGGCAGAGGTAGCAGGTGAAAGGTAAAAGATGAAGAAGCCATGATCCCTGCCTTGAAGAGTTCACACGCTAGGGGGCTCTGAGCCATATCAAAGGGGAGGGGCAGGTCAGACCTCTTAGAGTCCTGTCAAATGTGGTAAGTCCTAAAGTTGAAATAGATTGAGGCCGGGCATGGTGGCCCATGCCTGTAATCCCAGCACTTAGGGAGGCCAAGGTGGGCAGATCACCTGAGGTCAGGAGTTCGAGACCATCCTGGCCAACATGGTGAAACCCTGTCTCTACTAAAAATGTAAAAATTAGCTGGGTGTGGTGGCACACACCTGTAATCCCAGCTACTTGGGAAGCTGAGGCAGGAGAATTGCTTGAACCCATGGAGTGGAGGTTGCAGTGAGCCGAGATTGCGCCACTTCACTCCAGCCTGGGCGAAAGATCAAAACTCCATCTCAAAAAAAAAAAAAAAAAAAAAAGAAATAGATTGAGAGTGTTGCAGACACCTAGAAGAGGGACACTCTATTGCCTGATTTAGACTAGGAATTGAAGGAGATCAAGTTGTCAGGGGTGGTGACATTTGAGCTAGGTCTTAAAGGATGTGTAGGAGTTTTCCAGAAGGGAGAAGTCTATCCAGACACTTGTTACCTACTCAGGTCTACAGAGGTTGACGTAAATGGCCTAATCACATTTTAGAGACTCTGTGGATTACAATCCAGCCACTACAGATAGTAAAGCATCGTTGGTATATTTCTTTATTCAAATTTATTGCTTATAACATCCCCGATGTTTCCTTTTCCACTTGATGCTAAATTAATTACTATTTATTTTCTGATTAATATTGGAATACTCTAAGGAAGGGAGTATTTAGCACATTTAGTATTCAGCACATGTTCAAATATATTGATATTTAGCATATCAATTTTGGATGAAGAGTGAACCTTGAAAGTGACTTACTCAAGGAGAAAACTCCTTTTTCTTTCCATGTCCTATCACGCATTTCACCCTCTAGTGACTACAGTAAGAAACCATGATTGACCACCTGACTTTCTTTTTTTTTTTTTGAGACGGAGTCTCACTCTGTTGCCCAGGCTGGAGTGCAGTGAGGTGATCTCGGCTCACTGCAACCTCTGCTTCCCTGGTTCAAACTATTCTCCTGCCTCAGCCTCCTGAGTAACTGGGATTACAGGTGCACGCCACCATGCCCAGCTGTTTTTCGTATTTTTAATAGAGATGGGGTTTCATCATGTTGGCCAGGCAGGTCTCAAACTCCTAGCCTCAAGTGATCCACCCATCTCAGCTTCCCAAAGTGGTGGGATTACAGGCGTGAGACACCGCACCCTGCCGACCAACTGACTTTGATTCAGCAGATCTGTAGGTATGTTTTACAGGTTCCTAGTATTTCTGCAGGAACTTATGTTCTAATAAAAAGCTCTCCAAATTTCTTCTTACCACCTACATTTAGTTATTGTAGATGCAGCCGGAGTAACCCTCAGTAACACAGGAATAGCACATAAATAGAGAAGGCATATTTCAAAAGTGGTTTCAAGACTCCAAATTTTGAGCCTATCATATGAAATGATCTGCTATTGTAAGGGTTCTTAAGGACAGTCCATCTGTATTTAAAACAGGTGGTATAACTCTGCTCTCTTCTTCCCTCTTCTCTCCTGGCTATATCTCCTGTGGTTCTGGGAGTCTTGAGTTGCTCTGCTCTGGAAGTAGTAAGGATCAGTGTGATGGATGTGGCAAAGTCTAGTGAGTCTGTCTTCTTCTAATTAGCCTTGTTTAGATGTCATCTTGAATTGTAGTTCCTATAATCCCCATGCATCATGGGAGAGACCTGGTGGGAGGTAATTGAATCATGGGGGCGGTTACCCCCGTGCTGCTGTTCCTGTGATAGTGAGTGAGTTCTCATGCGATCTGATGGCTTTATAAGGGGCTTTTCCCTCTTTTGCTCGGCACTTCTCCTTGCTGCCGCCATGTGAAGAAGGACGTGGTTGCTTTCCCTTCTGCCATGATTGTACATTTTCTGAGGCCTCCCCAGCAATGCTGAACTGTGAGCCAATTAAATCTCTTTCCTTTATAAATTACCCAGTCTTGGGTATGTCTTTATTAGCAATGTGAGAACGGACTAATACAGAAGGGAAGGAAACAGATATGAAAGGAGGGAAGGAAGAAGGGAGAGAGAAAGGAGAAATGTTAGAATAGCAGGGACAAATTACTTTCTCCTCTAAGGGAGTCCCTGGGATCCCAGGGACTCAGTGAATTACCCATCACTGTTTAAGGCCCAGTG
The DNA here is from genome assembly GCF_000001405.40 of Homo sapiens. NCBI lineage: Eukaryota > Metazoa > Chordata > Mammalia > Primates > Hominidae > Homo > Homo sapiens. Next base: position 81,310 of record NW_025791811.1, read on the forward strand.
TGCCTATTTAGAACTTGTCAGGCGAAGAGTGGCCAGTTCAGACACCTGCAGGAACCATGCCGGTGATATAAGAAATAAAATATGCCAGGTAGTGGAGACAGTGGTGCAGATGGAGACACGTGGAGTCCCTGCCCTGTGTGAAGGCAGCAGCAGCTCTCAGTTCCTCTGCTCCAGCTGGTTGGTGCCACATGGAATGGCAGTCCTGTTTCATCAGCGTTTGCCATTTTCTTTTTTCTTTTTTTTTTTTTTTGAGACAGACTCTTGCTCTATCACCCATGCTGGAGTGCTGTGGAGTGATCTCAGCTCACTGCAACCTTTGCCTCCTGGGTTTAAGTGAGTTTCATGCCTCAGCCTCCCAAGTAGCTGGGATTACAGGCATGCACCCCCATGCCTGGCTAATTTTGTACTTTCTGTAGACACGGGATTTCACCATGTTGACCAGGCTGGTCTCGAACTCCTGACCTCAAGTGATCCACCAGCCTCAGCCTCCCAAAGTGCTGGGATTTACAGGTGTGAGCCACCATGCCTAGCTAGCTTTTGCCATTTTCAAGAAAAGCTAGATGTTTAGATTTGGATGTGAATTTTACTCATTTATTTTTATTTATTTATTTATTTATTTTTTGAGACAGAGTCTTGCTCTGTTGCCAGGCTGGAGTGCAGTGGCATGATCTCAGTTCACTACAACCTCTTCCTCCCGGGTTTAAGTGATTCTCCTGCCTCAGCCTCCTGAGTAGCTGGGACTATAGGCATGTGCCACCATGCCCAGCTAATTTTTGTATTTTTAGTAGAGATGGGGTTTCACCATGTTGGCCAGGATGGTCTCGATCTCTTGACCTGGTGATCCGCCTGCCTCAGCCTCCCAAAGTGTTGGGATTACAGGCGTGATCCACCATGCCTGGCCAGTTTACTGATTTTTAAAACACTTTCTGGGCCAGAAAAGCCATATGTATAGCCAAACCCTGCAGTATACACCTGCTGTTTCAGGGTGTAATGCTCTTGCTTAGGTTAGCTGACATGAAGCCAGGGAGCAGACAGGCATTTCTTTGGCAAATATTTAATAATCCCCTGCCCTGGACCCCTTTATTTAATAACCCCCTGGCAGGACCTTTGCCCTCCTCTAGTTGAGGACACATGGCCTTTGGACAGGAGGGGAGAAGCCACAGGTAGGAAGCAGTTAAATCCCAGCAGCAGGAGTGAACGCAGGGTAAGTTCAGAACAGGAAAGAGATCATGTGAGCCAGCAAGGGCAGGGGCAGCTCTGTGGATGAAGGGAGGATTGGGCTCCGCTCTGGGGATGAGTAGGACTTAGAATAAGAGAGTCTGGGAAGGGGAGGCAGATGACAAAAGTATGGAGATGGGGACGGGCCTGACATGCTCAGGGCGCAAGAGAGAACTGGAGGAATGTGGTCCAACATGGGCACAACGTCACATACAGTCACTGTGCTTGTTTCTAAGTAAATAAGACAAAAGATGTTGTAAAATGTGTAGCTCTGTGTCATGGTATTGATATCATTTAAAAACAAATTTAGAAAGCAGTTTTTAAAAAAGTAGTAAGAGTGAGAAATCTAATAAATTGTTCAGGCGCTGATCAAGAAGTATGTGGCCATCTCCACCTAATGCCATTTAGAATAATTACCTTAATTGTAAGTTCAGATTTCCTTTGTAAAGGAAAGTAGCTCGGGTTCAGCGCACCGGAGACCCAGATCACTGCTGGTTGGTTCCACAACCCTGAATAGCTTGGAATCTGAGTTAATTTACATTCCCATCTCCCTGGCATTATTCTTATGGGCTGACAAATCAGTGTTATTTGCCAGATGATAAGAGATTTTCCATGTTACTCCTTTTCAGTCTGCTCTTCCTTGTCATCCTAATCTAATGGTACTTCAGATAACTGCCTTTCTGAGCAACAATTCCATATAAATTACAAAGGAGAGGAGCAGAGTACTAGCCTTCTCAGTAATTTACACCACAATAGCAGCAGCTCTGAGGTGGTAGTCACTTATAAATAGGCTCCTAAAGCAGTGTGTGGGTTTTTAAAAACTGAGAACAGTTGAAATGATTCCTGGTTTGAGCACATCTTTACTGCCAGTGTTCCAGTATGCAACTGTAAGACAACAAAATGCTTCCTACTGTGCAGGGTTAGAAAGTTTACCAAGGCCATTCGCCAAGAGCAGGCCGATGGGTGTGGGATGAGGGCATTTTTTATGCATGAAAGGGATTCAAAGGAGTCTACTAAGTCTTATCTGACAGATACCAGCCTCACGGACCCCAGGAGCAGAGGCAAAGACTTCGATGCAGGAGGCATATTATACCATTTCGATCGTCCCTCATACAGCTAATTCATTCTGTCTGGGATGTGCTTCGAAGTTCACTCCACTTTACTGGCCCCAGACTGCAAAAGATAAAAGCGCCCTTACTGTGTGCCAGGCACTGCTTTAAGTACTTCACAATATGAATGAAGCATAGCCTTGTGAGCAGCTGGGACTACAGGTATGTGCCAGCATGCCAGGCTAATTTTTGTATTTTTTGTAGAAATGGGGTTTCACCATGTTGCCCAGGCTGGTCTCAAACTCCTGAGCTCAAGCAATCTGCCTGTTTCAGCCTCCCAAAGTGTTGGGATTACAAGCGTGAGCCACTGTGCCTGGCAGGCAAATATTCTTAAATTCCCATTTTACAGATGGGGAAATTGAGGCACAGAGAGGCTAAGTAACTTGCCCTTGTTCACACAGCTAGTCAGTTTTAGGGCTGCCATTCAAGCCAGGGATTCTGTCTCCAGATCCCTATTCTCAGTCGCCTTGCCCTGGCCTCCTCCCTGACAAGCTCCCGCCTGGGCCAGAGGGAGCTCTGGCCTTTGGATGAGATGAGACTGGAGAAAACTGGACATTCCTAGGATGTCTTTGTCTTGAACTTCCTGCAGCTATTGATTGGATTTTCCCTTCCTCTGTCCTCATCTCTTTTGTTTCCTGTTCCTAAGCTAGATGGCCTCATCTACTGCATAAGGGAGAGGGGAAAGCTGAACTTCTGTCTGGCTGAACTTCTGTCTGGCCTCCTCCTGGCCTCTGCTAGGGCAGCACAAGCCACTGCCATTTTTCATTTTCCAAGAAGGCAAGTTGTAGCTTCCCTTACTCCCATCACCAGTATTATACTTCTCCAGGACACAAAACTCCTTACAGGCCCATTATCTGGGCTTGGGACTTCGAAGTCAATTCTTTGGCACCAGTCTGCGTGTAATAAAAGCAATTTGTGTGTATGTGTTTACAACAGTGCATTGAGGACATACCTTACTGGCTGCCATGGAAAAGTACTTGAAGGCAGTAGCGTTATTTTGCGGCACGGCAGCATTCCCCTCTAAATACATCTAGGAAGAAAAATGAAAAGAGGATAGAAAAAACAAAATAATTTGAGAGTAATGCAAATATTTTAAAATGAAATAGAGGTAACAGTGGTACAACATATTGAATGTAGTAAATGCCACTGTAAATGCCACTGAATTGTATAAAGTGGTCAATTTTGTGTTATTTACATATTTACATTTTACCTCAATTTAAAACAAGAAAAAGTAAGAGTACCATTTATTACAGACTTCTGGAGTGACCCTGCCTGAGGGCAAAGAAATGGACCCTGTTTGTGTTTTCTCTCTCTCTCTCTCTTTTTTTTTTTTTTTTTTTTGCATCTACATTTACTGTATGTTGCACTTAGGAAGCAGGACATTCGTCCCTATGGTTACTAATGCAAATCGGCTGCAGGGAGCCAAGGGTGGCACACAGGGGAGTGAATAGTCTTTGAAGGAGACAGAAGAACATGCCTTTCCAGAGGAACCCTCCACCAGGCTACTCTGCAGCCACAGGAGGCCTCTCATCAGAGGTGGCATAAGGATAGCTCTGGTCAGCCTGGAGCTGATTCACACTCCAGCAGTAGAGCAGAGAAGGGCCTGATTGGGCTGAGACCTGTCCCGGTCTCCAGTGCTCAACCAACCTGGATCTCCTCTTACATATTGGGGAGTGGGGTGGTCATAGGCTCATAGCTACGCTCAGAGGAGGAGCCCTGGGCCAGGTGCACATTTTTATTTTATTTTTTATTTTTGGAGACGGAGTCTCCCTCTGTTGCCCAGGCTGGAGAGCAGTGGCGTGATCTCAGCTCACTGCACCCTCTGCCTCCCAGGTTCAAGTGATTCTCCTGCCTCAGCCTCCCAAGTAGCTGGGATTACAGGCACCCGCCACCACACCTAGCTAATTTTTGTAGTTTTAGTAGAGACGGGGGTTTCACCATGTTGGCCAGGCTGGTCTTGAACTCCTGACCTCAAACAATCCACCTGCCTCAGCCTCCCAAAGTGCTGGGATTACAGGCGTGAGCCACCGTGCCCGGCCAAGGTGCACTTTTAAGGCTGCTTTTGGTGCCCCAGATAAAGGCTGCTGTTATATGGGGCTTCTTCCCAAACTGTCACCTCAAGAATATCACCCTCGGGTTGCAGCCAGATGTCCCACTTAGCCGCTTCCGTGAAAGAGGCCTGCTGCCCTGTCCCTCTACAATGGGTTCAATGAGCTGGTATCATTAATTTGTTAGATTTTTAATTTTTAAATTTAAATTTTAATTATTTTGAGATGAGGGTCTTGCCGTGTTGCCCAGGCTGGTTGCCTGTGCTCAATGATCTTTCCACCTCAACTTCCCAAGTAGCTGGGACAACAGGCACACGCTGCTATGCCCAGTTTAATTTCTTAGGTTTTTAATAAATGAAAACAATGAATCAAGATGAAGCATGTACCTTTCCTATAAATGCCATGGCATTTGCACTCCCGGCCTTTGCTGCCTTTAAGAAGTAGTGTAATGCTTTCTGGAGAGAAAAGGAACAGTGTTATTGCTAGTCACAAAATAAATCCTTCAAAATAGCTTTTTGAACCAAACTTTATTCAATATGCATTCAAAAAATATCTATGGTGCTTGCCACTGAGCTTAAAAAAAATCTGTGAAATGCCCATTTTGTTCAAGGCACTATTCCAACCAAATGCATTTTCAACCATAACCTGAGGAGTGGGAGAGTGTCTATATCTCTTTCTTACATATAATTTTATAACATGAGGACTTGCTTCTTACATTTGGAAAGCCACGATGGGAATGTCGCTTTGTAGGGTGAGATGAATCCCAGCTGTGAAGCTAAATAGTCCATTATTTTGAAAAGCAGGCTTCTCTGTTGACACTGTGTACTTAATGAGGTTTTACTGTGGTTGGCAGAATTGGATACACAGTTTGCTAATGTTTGTAGGCAGAGTAAGACCAGACACACTTGGCCGGCTGCTGAGATCAGGTCTTTATGCAGAAGTGAGCTTTGAGACAATTCCTTCTGACTCAAATTGAAGGAGGCCAGTAAAGCCTCTGATTTTGTCTAGGTCGTTACATTAAATGAAGCACTCTGTCTAGAACACATAAGGGCTGACCTTGTCCCTTGCTGCCACACTCCCTAGGCCTCATCTCGACCTTCCGGAAAGCCCCTCCTTGGAAACCATGTAGAGCAATAAAAGAAATCAGCCTCAAGAATGTGGTATGAAACCGCTCTTTTTTTTTTTTTCGAGACGGAGTCTCACTCTGTCGCCCAGGCTGGAGTGCAGTGGCACGATCTCGGCTCACTGCAACCTCCATCTTCTGGGTTCAAGTGATTCTCCTGCCTCAGCCTTCTGAGTAGCTGGGATTACAGGCGCCCCCACCCACAATGCCTGGCTATGAAGCCACTTTTTAAAGTGTCTTGTTAGGATACGACCTTTCTGCTCTTTAAAAAGTCTTGATCAGGTTGATGTGCAAAGACGTTCCTTCTCAAAGAGAAGAGAATGTTTAAGGAAGAACTGCTGGTAGTTATTTTACATGGAAGTTTGCTGTAGGAATGTTGCTAACTTCTTTGTGGGCATAAGTACAAATGCTGCCACAGTTAAACCTCATGGCGTCATGCATCCATTCATCCATCCAGCTCTTCCAATCTTCATTTACCCTTTCAAAAACTTGACTGAAGCCTGCTATATATAGGATAGTATGTTACGTATTATAGATGATTCATAGATAAACAGAAACATGATTCCTACATTTGCTCCCTAGCAATGTTCCTGAGAAAGAAAATATATATAAACAGCAGTGAGATAGTAGGTAATAGGTGGTATAAAAGAAACTCCATAAGGAATTAGAAGGGAATAGAATAAAAGACATTGTATCCAGTTCTCCTATAAGTTTTTGCAAACTTTTTCTTACCTAATCTTCACAATAGCACCATCAGAGGGTATTATTAATATCTGATCTTATTACCAACATGTCAGAGTCATGCTGTTAGTACTGCAGATCAATAAGCAGCTCACCACTCTGTCTCCACAGTATACAGAGGAGGGCTAAAATGATCGAGGCCTCATGAAAGATGGTGACAAGTCACCAGTACAGAGGCTAGGGGAAGAACCTGAGCAAACGAATGGGGATGGGAGTGGCCAAGATGTGTTCAGAAAATAGTGATTACTTCGGCGTGGCTGAAATAGAACATCCAAAAGCTAAGACTTGCAAAAATAAGATGGCGCCATTACTATAAACAATCTTGAAGACTAAGCTAAGGATTTTATTTTTTTAATTAAAAAAAATTTTTTTGAGACAGAGTCTTGCTCTGTCACCCAGGCTGGAGTGAAGTGGTATGATCTTGGTTCACTGCAACCTCCACCTCCTGGGTTCAAGCGATTCTCCTGCCTCGGCTTCCTGAGTAGGTGGGACTACAGGTGCGTGACCACCACAACTGGCTCATTTTTGTATTTTTAGTAGAGATGGGGTTTTGCCATGTTTGCCAGGCTGATCTTGAACTCCTGACCTCAGGTGATCCTCCCATTTCGACCTCCCATAGTGCTGGGATTACAGGTGTGAGCCATCACACCTAGACGTAAGGATTTTACTTTATTTTATTTTAAAAAATAGAAAATAGAAGCCACTGAAGATCTATAAATGTTAGGGAATCCTGAAGATAAAATGCCTGGAATCATCCAAGTGTCAGCTGGAGAGGAGAAAGTTATAGCAATGTACAAGTTACTAAATGAGAGAACACTAATATCAAAAATAAAAGTGTATCTCATGAATCTCTCTACTGAGCCATGACCAAAATATGTCCCCAGGTAACTGTGTAAATTACACAAATCACATTATCTCCTGGGCTTGGTTTCCTTATTCAGATTCTCCTCCTCTGTGATCTCACGGCACCTCATCCTGTCCGTATTGTGGCATTCATCCATTGATTTCATTATTGACTTATTTTGTCTCCTCCAATGTTGAATCCTCTGTACTTAGCATAGTGTGGGCTATATGTTAGGCACCAGGAAATGTTTCAGAAATGAATAAATGTATGAATGTCTATCCATCTCTAAAACAAGGCAGCTGGACTTTAATCTTTATAGGCTCTTCTAGCTCTAGTATTATGATTCTGTAAAATCATTTTCAAAGTCCAGTTTAGTAATTTGGCTCTCAAATATCTTGTAATAGAGACTTCTGAAAAAAGTTTCATTCTGGGAAATCAGTGAAATTTTAAAAGAAAGTAACTTGTTCTCCTGAAGCAAATATAAATCCTGGAGTTTTCCCCACCCTTAAATATAATGATTTGATAAAGACCTAAAGGAATTGAGACTCTGTCTCATACACTGCTCCACTGTCATGGCTTACTTAGTATTTCATTCCCTTTTTTTTTCTCATTTTTAAATTTACATGTCCTTAATACTATTGCTTCAACTATATAAACCTTTATTAAACACCACGTGAAACTACCACCAAGCAAGCTACCTTGATGGATATACACGAGCCAACCTGAGTTCTTGCTCTTGAAGAGTTAAGATCAAGTACTCATCCATCCATCCATCCATCCATCCATCCATCCATCCATTCATCCATCCTTCCTTCAAATATTAACTGAGCACCCAACATCATATTTCACTGATTCTAAGATGTACATCTCCTCCCACCTCACTTCCATCAGGACATATTATAATATATATTGGTAAGTTTTCTTTTTTTCTTCCTCAGAACATAAAATACTTGTGTGTCTTACAATTGGTGGTGTCTTAGTATGAAATATAGTACGCCCCAGGTATTACACTAAGTAAGTAAAGTTTTATTATTTGGACCCATATCTCTCTTTTTAAAAAATGATCATGATTTTTCATTGGCTCTAAGAAAATCTGTAGTTTAACCAGTTTGTAACATTTCCCCTAGAATGAAATGCCAAGAAAATGTACTGTTCTAAAAACATTTATGAATATATATGTATTTTCTTTTTGAGATGGAGTCTCACTCTGTCGCCAGGCTGGAGGGCAGTTGCGCAATCTCAGCTCACTGTTACCTCTGCCTCCCAGATTCAAGCGATTCTCCTGCCTCAGCCTCCTGAGTGGCTGGGACTACAGGCGTGCACCACCATGCCCAGCTAATTTTTGTATTTTTAGTAGAGACGGGGTTTCACCATGTTGGCCAAGATGGTCTCAATCTCTTGACCTCATGATCTGCCCGCCTCAGCTTCCCAAAGTACTGGGATTGCAGGCGTGAGCCACCGTGCCTGGCCTGAATACTTCTTTTATCTCTTGCTCTGTAGAACATCCTGAGAAAAGATGGTATTAGCTCTTTTTCTAAATTTTTAAATGGGTGGTAGGATAGACAAAGCAGTTGCCCTTACAAATTTGATATTATTCCTCTGCTAGGTTTAATTTAATTACGCTTTATCCATTTTAATAATATTCACCCAAACATCCCGCTTTCCTAATCCAATTTATTCTGAGCCTTCATATATTTAGAAATGCAAATAAAATTAAAATCTATGTGTAGAAAATCCAAGATAATGTAATCAAGAATTGCATATACAATATTTTTCACTAATTAAGAATTTGGTCAGGGAGAGGGTAAAAACGTTTTCTGTGATGACAACTCATGAGAGAGATTAGTTCAACCAAACAGTGAGGAAGGAAAAGAAAGGCAAGCTAGTCATTTCCAGGTATCTTGAAATTTAATTTTCTGAGCAGTGGACTGGAGCATCATATTTAAAGAGAGACTTATACTAATAATTCTCTTTGGTGGACTGAAATATTAGCATGCTGGCTCAAGTGGTGGTCTTCAGGCTGAGGACTATAGTTAAAAATAAGATATTGTATATTTCAAAATAACTAGAAGAGAGGATTTTGAATGTTCTCACCCCAAAGAAATGACAAGTATTTGTGGTGATGGATTTGCAAATTACCCTGGTTTGATCATTACATAATGTATACACTACATTTGCATACATATGTATATATTACATAATGAATATATTATGTAATGATCAAAACATCACATTGTATCCCATAAATATGTACAATTATTATGAGTCAATTAAAAAAGAAAATAAAAAGAAAAGAAAACATTATCCTGTCTGAGGAGGAGAGACTTGGAAAGATGAGAAGCGAGGTATGAAAAGAGCTGCAGTAATAGCCTTTTGGAAACTGGATTTATCTTTGTATCTTCCCTCTCCCTTATGTATCTCCCCTGCCATTCCAAGTTGATTCTGGAGCAGCTACACTATGGTATGTTGCAAGAATGACCACAGTACTTTGCAGCTCTGCCCATTGAGAGGAGAAGCCCATTTCCCTACCCCTCCAAGTTTGCTGGCCTTGTGATTTGCTTTGGCCAAAAGAATGTGGCAGAAGTGACTTGTCAGTTCTGAGCTCAGGCCTCAAGAGACTTCTGCTCTGGTGTTCTTAGAACTTTGACTGCCATGTGGAAAGCTTGGGCCAGTTGGCTAAAGCATGAGACCACATGGAGAGGGGCCCCAGTCATTCTCGCAGTCACAGATGAAGCCATCATAAACCAGCCAGCTCTAGCTAATGTTCCAGCTAACTGCAGATGCATGAGCAAGCCCAGCTAAGATTAGCTGAGCCTGGCCCAGATCAGAATTGCTCAGCTGAGGCTAACCAAAATTGCTGACCTGCCAAAATCATGAATTAAATAAATGGTTATTATTGAAAACCACCTAAGTTTGGGACTATTTTTTTAAAAATGCAGACAAAGATAACTGATAGATAAGTCAATTTGTCTTTTTTTTTTTTTTTTTTTTTTGAGACGGAGTCTCGCTCTGTCGCCCAGGCTGGAGTGCAGTGGCGGGATCTCGGCTCACTGCAAGCTCCGCCTCCCGGGTTCACGCCATTCTCCTGCCTCAGCCTCCCAAGTAGCTGGGACTACAGGCGCCCGCCACTACGCCCGGCTAATTTTTTTTGTGTGTTTTTAGTAGAGACGGGGTTTCACCGTTTTAGCCAGGATGGTCTCGATCTCCTGACCTCGTGATCCGCCCGCCTCGGCCTCCCAAAGTGCTGGGATTACAGGCGTGAGCCACCGCGCCTGGCCTCAATTTGTCTTAAAGTTTGAGATTTCAACTGGAGTTCTCCATTCAAGTTCAGGGTCATTAGGCTGAGGGGAGAAGAAAGGACCAGCCTGTGCTTACCCGCAAAGAGTACCTGCATCACAAGGATGGTTCTGGAATTAAACTCGTCTTCTTGGGATATGTGGAAGCAGGAGGCCCAACCCACTATCAGGAAGAGCTAAAGGAAACTGAGAGATCATGTCATTTCTTCTTCTTGCTTTATAAATGAGGGAACAGATTTTAGAGGCTGTTTTTTGTTTTGGCCTGGGTCAAATAAAGTTTAATGTAAAAAGCTCAGGTTTTGATTTCTGAAGGCCTGAGTTCAAATTCTGCTTCTTAAACAATCTTACTTCCCAGCTGTGAGCCTTGAAGCAATTTACTTTATGTCTCCAGCCTCTGCTTCTCATTTGTAAAACAGATGTAATAAAACCTCGTGAATGAGCCCACAGGAGATCCTGGCTGGGCTCCTGGGTGACACTCAGCTGCCTGGCTGCTACACAACAGCTCTGGGATCCTGCAACAGCAGCCCTGGGATTGCACTTCATCCTCACCTGGAGGCAGCTGCAGCTGCCATCTGGTGACCACAGTGGCTGGAGCTGACTGAAGTACCAACTTAGTGGGATTTTATTGCACTGTACAAAGATTGGTTTGTCTTCCCTACAGCTGAAGCTAGGATGCCCTCACATCCAAATTTCATGTTTATGGAAAATGAGGACGTCTTCCTAGTTACATATTCTATGATTAACATGAGAAACTCATTGCAGGCTGAAATCTGACAGAGTAAAATTATGAATCCAGATATTTCCATCTAAGAAGCTAGAACTTTGGTTATGATTAAGATGAAAGAAAATCTATGGATCTTCAACCGAGCTGTCTTGGGGTGCGTATGCTTATTTAAATTCCTACCTATTTTATCACAGTTTATGAAATGACTTCGACATTTACCTGATGTTTACTGGATCTCATATAAAATACAAATTATAGTACCAAAGACACATCCATAAAATAACACAAAATGAAATGCAAAGTAGTAACAGATTACTTTTTTACGTAATAGCCTTATAAAGTTGTTTCTATCACTTAGCCATTGGGACTATGTTGAAATAGGCTACATGTTCCTTTGAGACAAGGAGCATGTGGCTCCTATAAATGAAAAGAGCAGCAAAATCATCTTTAAAAAAAAAAATCCAGTTACTTCCCAGGTCTGTGGTGATGTAGGGCCTTGAAACCACTATCAAAATCTAAGCAAGAACTCATCCCATGACCCTGGCATCTTACAGAGGAGGATCCTGTGTATGTCAAGGTGAAGTTCATTTGTTCATTTGCTTTTTTCTTCGCTACACATTTGAATGGTTAATTAACTTATTTATTTTTTTTATTTTTTTATTTTTAGAGGGAGTCTGGCTCTGTCACCCAGACTGTAGTGCAGTGGCATGATCTGGGCTCACTGCAACCTGTGCCTCCCAGGTGCAAGTGATTCTCCTGCCTCAGCTTCCCGAGTAGCTGAGATTACAGGCACGTGCCACCACGCCCGGCTAATTTTTTGTAATTTTAGTAGAGACGGGGTTTCACCGTGTTCGCCAGGATGGACTCAATATCCTGATCTCGTGATCCGCCTGCCTCAGCCTCCCAAAGTGCTGAGATTACAGGCATGAGCCACCGTACCTGGCCGGTTAATTAACCTTTTAACCTCACTGGGATAAGGTAAGGTTAAGCAAAATGATTGAAAAGAGCTTTGCAAATGTATAAGGATGTTTAATATATTTTTAATTATATTAAAAGCAATCTGTCTTCTGATATAGCCAAATGGGGATGAAGTTGCCTCTCAGACTCCTTAACGGTGATCCCCAGGTGGACTCTGCAGCTGGCCTTGTGTGCAGGCCGGCAGGTGGGGATATTCTCTCTCCTAATCCCAGCCCAAAGTGCGTGTGAGTGCGCAGAACTAGGTTCTGTTGGAACATGGATACCCCCCTGCCTCGATTGCTCCTCAGAAGTCCCTTCCCCTTTGTTCTTGAAGGCAGGTGGGTAAGTGCTCCCTCTGGAGAACTTAGTTCTTCCTAAGAAGCTGGGAAGCATAGCTGACCAAGGAAGCATCAGTGGGCTTTCTGAGCAACTCTTCCACCTCTCCCTCCCCCTGCTTTCACTTCCCTGCCAGCCTCCCTCACCACTACCTTCCCCACCCCATTTGACTGGATCTTGAGATTGACTTACGTAGTAATCCTGATCTAGACCTTTCCTGCCAATTAGATGTAATTGTCCAAGAGAGACCTAGGAATGATGAGTTTGGAAATGATTTTAGCAGCAGTATTACTTTAAATAAAGAAAACATTTATGTGGTGATTTTACTTTAGTATGTTGATTGTTGGACACGTTTGAAATGTCCTGAAAAAATCAGGGAAACATTCCAGACTATATCATTTATTGGGTAATTGGTTGCTGCTGGACATATGGCTTCCTTAGTGGCTGGAAGCTGGTCTTCTGGGGTACAGAAACACCCAGGCACATAAAGCTAGGGGCCTTAGCTCTTGGCTCTCAAAGATCATGCAAATACTGTCCCATTCCCAAAAACAGAACCTTTCTGGATTGCCGTAGTTTATTCATACTAAAACCAACATTGGGGTTGGGCGCAGTGGCTCACGCCTGTAATCCCAGCACTTTGGGAGGCCGAGATGGGCAGATCACGAGGTCAGGAGATCGAGACCATCCTGGCTAACATGGTGAAACCCTGTCTCTACTAAAAATACAAAAAATTAGCCAGGCGTGGTGGTGTGGGCACCTGTAGTCCCAGCTACTTGGGAGGCTGAGGCAGGAGAATGGTGTGAACTCGGGAGGCGGAGCTTGCAGTGAGCCGAGATTGTGCCACTGCACTCCAGCCCGGGCGACAGAGTGAGACTCCAACTCAAAAAAAAAAAAAATTAATTTTTAAGGAAGAAATGCAAAAAAGTTGCTATTATTATGGCAACTAGTTCTCCAGTGGGCTACAGGAACTGTAAGTAGCAGGGAACAAAACAGGAGTAGGGTGAGAGAGGAGGGCGGGTCTCCCCCCATTCCTATTTAGGATGGGGCATTGTTCATCCCTCCAGGACTCAGAAAGAATTAAGCCCCTTGTAATTTTCATGTTCTAAAAACTCAATCTCATCTGTATACATTACTTGTATCTGAACATCTCCTCTTTCTGCCAAAAATTTATAGTATTGGTATATGTCCCAATCCAAAATCTCACTGTTAGAACTCAGATTTTCAGGTCTTTCCGTTAGTCTCACTTTTTCCACTGGAACACCTTCACTTTTTTCAAATGTGTCAGCAACTGTGAATAAAAACAAGCCAGAGAATAGCTAGAAAACAGAGGCTGCAAGAGATAACAGTCAATTTAGAGAAAACACCGTTAGCTTATTATCTTAAATTGTGCAGAAATCTGTTCAACTAATAGAGACAGAAGATCCATGAAAAATAGAAATTTTCAGATTTTTGGCCAGGTGCGGTTGCTCATGTCTGTAATCCCAGCACTTTGGGAGGCAGAGGCGGGCAAATCACTTGAGGTTAGGAGTTTGAGACCTGCCTGGCCAACATGGTGAAACCCCGTCTCTACTAAAAATACAAAAATTAGCCAGGTATGGTGGTGCACACCTGTAATCCCAGATACCTGGGAAGCTGAGGCATGAGAATCACTTGAACCCAGGAGGCAGAGGCTGCAGTGAGCCGAGATTGAGCCACTGTGCTCCAACATGGATGACAGAGGGATACTCTGTCTCAAAAAAAAAAAAAAGTGCAATTTTTGTTTATTGGGTTCTCTAGTTCTTCTTTGCAACCTATACAAGTATGGTATCAACTTATATCAGACTCTACTGAAGATCTTGACCAAAAAGACTCAAGGAAAGGGGATATTTTAGGAGCAGATAACTCATTCCATTCATAATTTTTTTCTGGGACTAAGACTATAATATAGGAATAATCACTGCTCTTTAATTACTTCCTATGGATAGTCTGAAAATAAATATAAAGATAGATATGCTTGAATACACCTAACAAAGTGTGCAGTTTGAAATATATATAGTAATTCCAATTTCATTAAACACATGAAATGATCTCATTATATACAGCATCTTAAATTCAAAACTAGTTTTTTTCCTCCTTCTTTCTTTTCTCAGATCCTAATAATGCCAAAGATGTGTGCTTAGACATTATTCTGATTACATTTAGACTAATGGTTGCTTGAATTGTTCTCATATGTGGTGACAGATACCTCCAATGTATACCTTACATTCATTCCTTTAGGAATTTTTGGCAGTCATCCCATATTCTGAATGTTATATTTAGGGAAACTGCTTAATATTTATCGGTGCTACATTCAAATTCTCAGTAAGGAAAGAACATCACAAAGGCAAGTAAAACAGAATTGTTTGGGGATACATATTAACAAAAATAAAAAATGAGTATAATCTTTTAAAACCATTTGGAAAGTAACTATTAAGGAAACAGAAACTGTATTATGTTAAAAGAATTGTATTATAACATATTAAAAACGTACACTTTTGATATTTTCATAAGTTTATATCAATTGAACTGTTATTGATTTATTTTTCTAATTCCTTGGCAACTGTTTATTTTAAAATAAATTATGTGGATTACTTACTATAATCTGCCACTTTCTTGTAATAACTTAGGGCAACTTCACAATTCTGTAGAACATTGATTCCCGACAAATATCTGTACCCCTAAAACACAGACAGATGCATTCTTAATATTCAAGACAATGCTGTATTTATGGCATACAAATTTGGTTCCAAGAATATTTTGTTTACAAACCAAAATCATCTGGGACATCATGTTTCCTCCAGCACTTCCAAAGGTGTAATATATCAGTGCCTAAAGTAAAAACAAACAAACAAAAAACCCCCCAAACCAGGTTGGCCATTTAAATTTGAAACTCAAACCAAGTATTCCATTTTTATTCCTAGCTCCATAATGACCCATTGAGTTACTCCAAAATAAATTTCAAATTTCACTCTCCTTTGTAAAGATGTTTGCCATTTATTAGGGGTTAACTAATCTCTGGAGTCTGTGATAAGGGCATTGTATAAGATATTTCATTTAATCATCATAATTTCCTTATGAAGCAGATATTATCTATCTTCAATGAAGAGGCTGACTCATGAGGCTTTAAGAAACTTATGGCATAAGAACACTAAATTTCTTTGACTATTAAGTTGGTGTTTTCAACTACTACACTAGAGTGAGCCCCTTTACTTAATGAGTAGATTTTATTCAATGTCCCTTTTAGAGAAATCAATTTTGTTCCAGAATAAAACAGAATGATCTTTACCTTAGCTTGATCATATTCCATTCCTATTCCATAAGAAGACAAAAATCCTAATGCCTAAAGCACAAAAGAAGAAACAAAATTTAATAAATCAATTTATTTCCTAATTATCTATATGGATAAGGGATATCTTAAATGTCTGCTTCATAATAATTTGCATTGTTAATTTCTTTCTTTCTCTTTTTTTTTTTTTTTTTTTTTGAGACAGAGTCTCACTCTGTCGCCCAGGCTGAAGTGCAGTGGCGAGATCTCGGCTCACTGCAATCTCTGCCTCCAGGGTTCAAGTGATTCTCCTGCCTCAGTCTCTCGAGTAGCTGGGACTACAGGCTCCAGCCACCACGCCCCGCTATTTTTTTTTTTTTTTGTATTTTTAGTAGAGATGGGGCTTCACCCTGTTGGCCAGGATGGTCTTGATCTCCTGACCTCGTGATCTACCCGCCTCGGCCTCCCAAAGTGTTGGGATTACAGGCGTGAGCCACTGCTCCCGGCCTCTTTCTTTTCTTTTCTTTTTTTTTTTTTTGAGACGAAATTTCAGTCTTGTTGCCCAGGCTGGAGTGCAATGGTGCAGTCTCAGCCCACTGCAACCTCTACCTCCTGGGTTCAAGTGATTTTTCCTGCCTCAGCTGCCCAAGTAGCTGGAATTACAGGTGCCCACCACCACACTGGCTAATTTTTGTATTTTTAGTAGAGATGGGGTTTCACCATGTTGGCCAGGCTGGTCTCAGCTGACCAGATGGGGTTTCATCTAAGGCCAGGCTGACCTCAAGTGACCCACCTGCCTCGGCCTCCCAAAGTGCTGGGATTACAGGCGTGAGCCACCACGCCTGGCCATTGTTAATTTATTTTTTATACTATAACAGCACCCTTTTACATTTTTATTAAGGCTGCAGGAATTTGGGAAAGCTCACAATAGTGGGAGGTTTGTGTAATATACATGAATATAGGCTAATTCTTACTGTGCTTTAGTATAAATTATAGCAATAAAACCAAGGGCCCTTATATACTTTCCTTTCTTGGAAACGAAATATTTTTCCTTCAATATTTAAAACATTTAGGCTGGGTGCGGTGGCTCACACCTGTAATCCCAGCACTTTGGGAGGCTGAGGTGGGTGGATCACGAGGTCAGGAGATCGAGACCATCCTGGCTAACACAGTGAAACCCTGTCTCTACTAAAAATACAAAAAATTAGCTGGGCGTGGTAGCGGGGGCCTGTAGTCCCAGCTGCTCGGGAGGCTGAGGCAGGAGAATGGTGTGAACCCGGGAGGCGGAGCTTGCAGTGCACCAAGATCGCGCCACTGCACTCCAGCCTGGGTGACAGAGTGAGACTCCGTCTCAAAAAAAACAAAAAACAAAAAAAGCCCATTTAGATTTGGATACTTTTCTTCACATTAATTTTAACGTGATGGATGTAAAATATTCAAACAATAACAAATATACAGAATAAAAAAATCAAAGGCTGAGCACAGAGCAAGATGATGGAATAGGAAGCCTCAGACTGCATTCCCTCACAGGGACAATGATTTAATTATAAATGATCAAAAAAGCCTTTTTGAGAACTCCAGAAACCAGTTAAGAAGTCATAGGACAGCAGGCAAGCTCAAAGCCAAGAATAGTCCGTGAAACAGGTAAGAAAAGCCATTTAATTTCACCCATGATCCCTCCTCCCTCAAGCCAGCACAGCTTGGTGCTTTCAGGAGAAAAAGCCCAACTGACAGTTTCTACCTTGGGAGGGAAAGAGAAGAAAGGAACACATGACTTTTCAGGGGGCTGTTCCAGTGACTGGTTTTTTTCCTCACCTAACTCACAGTGCTGACAGAGCCAGTATATTTTCCATCCCTAGGGGCTACTGAGAACAAAAGAGCTCAATGGCTTACTGCAGTGCCAGAGAACTTGCAGTACCACAGACAGAAGGAGAAAGAGATTATAAACTCCTGGAAGAAAAAAAAAAACTGGCAAACCACTCTAATTGGGAAATAACTTACACAAGCCCAGAGAAGATGCATCCCCAGAAAAGGTTCAAGAAGCTCTCAGAATTTTTAACTGTGCTGATTGGTGAAGACCTTTCACATACGAAGCTAGTCTATAAAGACTAGGAGAGATAGCTGTTTTTTTAAGTGCACAAATCGTAGCAAAATAATAACAACAACAACAACAACAAGGCACACCAGGAAACAGGAAAAGATGGTCCTATGAAAGGAACAAAATATCCTGAAATCAACCTTAAAGAAACACCAAATAATGACTTACCTAACAAATAATTTAGAATAATCATCTTGAAGAAGCTCAATGAACCATAAGAGAATAAAGAAAACAAAATCTGGAAAATGATGCATGAACACAATGAGAATATCAACAAAGAGAAACTATTAAAAAAACAGAAATTCTGAAGCTGAAGAATACTATATCTGAATTTTAGAAATGCACTAAAGGAATTCAATAATAGAGTTGATGAAACTGAAGAATCAGCAAACATGAACATAGGTCATTTGAAATTATTGAGTTAGAGGAACAAAAAGAAAAAGGAATGAAGAAAAGTAAAGAAAGCCTAAGGGACTTATGGGATACCATCAAGTGGAACAATATATACATTATGAGAGTCTCAGAAGAAGAAGAGAGAGAAAGGGACAGAGAGGATATTTGAAGATTAAATGATTGAAAACTCACAAATCTGAGGAAGGAAATAGGCATCTAAATTCAAGAATATCAAAGGATTCCAAGTGAGATGAACCCGAAGAGCCCCAAACCAAGACACATTACAATCAAGTTTTCAAAAGTCAATGGTAAAGAATGTTAAAAACAGCAAGAGAAAAGCCACTGGTCACATAAAAGGAAGTCCCTGTAACATTATCAGCAGATTTCTCAGCAGAAACATTACAGACCAGAAAAGGATGGGATAATATATTCAAAATGCTGAAAGAAAAAGCTGTCCAGGCCAGGCGCAGTGGTGCACACCTGTAATCCCAGTACTTTGGGAGGCCAAGGTGGGCGGACCACAAGATCAAGAGATTGAGACCCTCCTGGCCAACATGGTGAAACCCTGTCTCTACTAAAAATACAAAAATTAGCTGGGCATGGTGGTGCATGCCTGTAGTCCCAGCTACTTGGGAGGCTGAGGCAGGAGAATCACTTGAACCCAGGAGGTGGAGGTTGCAGTGAGCCAAGATCATGCCACTGCACTCTAGCCTGGTGACAGAGCAAGACTCCATCAAAAAAAAAAAAAAAAAAAAAAGGAAAAGACAAAGCTGTCCACCAAAAACACTATATTTGGTGAAAGTGTCCTTCAAAAATGAAAGAAGAATAAAGCCCTTCCCAGACAAACAAACGCTGAGGGAGTTTATCATCACTAGACCTGCTTTGAAGGAATTGCTAAAGGAAGTCCTATAAGTTGAAAAGAAAGGACTCTAGAACTCTAGAAAGCAACACAAAAGCATATGAAATTATAAAGCTCTATGAAAAGGTATGTATGTAGACAAATACAGAATTCTGTAGTATTGTAATGGTGGTGCATAAATCAATTCTGGTATACAATTTAAAAGACAAAACAGAAATAATTATAACAATAAAACTACATTTAAAGTATATAAAGTAGTAAAAAGATGTAATTTGTGAAGTTGATAACATACAGTGGTGGGGATATATAAATGACTTGAGATTTTGTGTGTGATTGACATTGTCATTATCAGTTTAATATAGATTGTTATAAGATATTTTAGCCATCCATTGTGCCTCATGCCTGTAATCCCAGCACTTTGGGAGGCCGAGGTGAATGGATCACCTGAGGTCAGGAGCTTAAAATCAGCCTGGCCAACATGGTGAAATGCCATCTGTACAAAAATATGAAAATCAGCCACCATATGATGGCAGGCACCTGTAATCCCAGCTACTTGGGAAGCTGAGGCAGGAGAATTGCTTGAACCTGAGAGGTGGAAGTTGCAGTGAGCTGAGATCACACCGTTGCACTCCAGCCTGGGCTACAGAATGAGACTCCATCTCAAAAAAAAAAAAAGTATAAGATATTTTATAAATTATTCATGGTAATCACAAAGAAAATGTGCATTGAGGATGCACAAAGAAAATGAAAAAGGAATCAAAGCACACCACCAAAACAAAAACAAACACACACAACTAAAAACAAAGGAATGCAGTAAGAGAGGAAAAGAAGGACAAAATAACTACAAGATGTACAGAAAAAAATAACAAAACAGCAATAGTGATTCCTTCCCTATCAGTGATTGCTTTAGACGTAAATGGATTAAACTTCCAAATAAAAAGATATAGAGTGACTGAATGAATAAGAAAACAAGTTTCAGGTATACACTGTCTATAGGAGATTCACATTAGTATAAGGACACACATAGGCTGAACATTAAAGGATAGACAAAGATATTCCATGTGTCAAATTATGCCCCTGCTTAACAGACAAGATGGACTCCCTGTGGCTGAAAAGATGAAAGCAGAACCAAGAGTTATATGGCAGGGTGAAGAAATGGTCACACTTTCTGTGTCCTTGGAAAGCATTATAAAACCTGTTTTTCCACAACCAAGTCAAAGAACAATTTCTGAAAATAACTGCAGCTAGAAATTCTTCAATTGACCCCAACAGACCACCTGGTGCCTCCCAACTGAACACCTGGAACCAGCTAATTAAGACAGACTGGTGAAATGGTCATTTAATCAAGACTCTGTTCCCCACTCCCCTGATTCCCCTCCCCTGCCCTGTGTTTTTGGCCTTTATAATCTCCAACTTTCCAACTCCCACCTCAGGTCACACTTCGATTTTGCACTGAAGGCTGCATCTCTCCAATCTGCAGATTGCTTTTAGAAAATAAAGTTCCCCCTTTTCCTCCACAGAACTCATTGATCTTTTGTTAACACAGGCAAATGGTAACCAAAAAAGAGCCAGAGCAGCCCTACTTATATCAGAGAAAACTGACTTTAAGCCAAAAATTGTCCTAAGAGACAAAGAAGAACATTATATAATGATAAAAGGTTCGCTTCATTAGAAAGATGTAACAAGTATAAATATATATGCATCTAAGAGCAAAGCATCCAACCATATGAAGAAAATATTGACAGAACTGAAGGAAGAAATAGAAAGTAACGCAACAGTAGGAGATTTCAATACCCCACATTCAATATTAAATAGAACAATCAGATAGAAGATCAATAACAAAAGACCTTATTGTATTTACACAATAAGATCCATTACAGACCAGTTGGACCAAACAGACATATGTGGAACATTCTACTTTACAGGAGCAAAAGTATACATTATTCTCAAGGGCGCACAAAAACAGTCTCCAAGATAGATCATATTTTGGGACAGAAAACAAGTCTCAACAAATTTAAGAATATTTAAATCATACCAAATATCTTTTCCAAACCCAATGGAATGAAACTAGAAATCAACAGCAAAGGAAAACAAAAAACTTCACAAATATGTGAAAACAAAATGACATATTCTTGAGCAACAAATGAGTCAAAGAAGAAATCACAAGGGAAATTAGAAAACATCTTGAGAAAAATGAAAACAAACAACAAAACACACCAAAACTTATGGGGATGCAGTAAAGCATCCCATAAGATGCTAAGAGGGAAGTTTAGAGCAGTATATAATATAAAATGCATTACTAAAGAAGATCTCAAATAAACAACCTAACTTTATACCTCAAAGAACTAAAAAAAGAACAAACCAGACCCAAAGTTAGCAGAAGAAAGGAAGTACTAAAGATTAGAGTAGAAATAAAAGAGACTAGAAAGCCAATACCAAGAAGTCAACAAAACTAAAAGTTAGGTTTTTTAAAAATATCAACAAAAGTCTGGCCAGGTGCAGTGGCTCATGCCTGTAATCTCAGCACTTTGGGAGGCCAAGGTGGGTGGATCATCTGAGGTCAGGAGTTCGAGACCAAGCTGGCCAAAATGGCAAAACCCCGTCTTTAATAAAAATACAAAAATTAGCCAAGCATGGTGGCAGGCACCTGTAATCCCAGCTATTGGGGAGGCTGAGGCAGGAGAATCATTTGAACCCAGGAGGTGGAGGTTGCTGTAAGCAGAGGTCACACCACTGCTCTCCAGCCTGGGCAACAGAGCAAGACTTCGGTTCACAAATCAAAACAAACAAACAAAAAATTAACAAAATTTGCAAACCTTTAGCTAGATCAACAAGACAATAGAGAAGACTCAACAAAATTCAGAAGTGAAAGAGGAGACATTACAAATGATGCCACAGTAATAAAAAGGATCATACTGTTATGAACAATTATGCACCAACAAACTGGATAACTTAAAACAAATGGATTAATTGCTGGAAAAATACAACCTACCAATACTGAGTTTTGAAGAAATAGCAGATCTGAACGATTTGTAACTAGTTAGTAGATTGAATCAGTAATCAGAAACCTCCCGACAAAGAAAAGCCCAGGACCAAATGGCTTCACTAGAGAATTCTACGAAAAATCTAAGAAGAATTAACAGAAATCCTTCACATTTTCCAAACTTTCCATGAGGCCAGCATTATCCTGATTCCAAAACTAGACAAAGACACTACAAGAAAACCATAGACCAATATACCTGAATATTGATGCCCAAATCCTCAACAAAATACTAGCAAACTGAATTCATGGCACATTAAAAGGATTATACACCATAACCAAGAGGAACTTACTCCTGAAATACAAGAATGTTTCAACATATAAAAGTCAATCAGGCTGGAGCAGTGGCTCATGCCTGTAATCCCAGCACTTTAGGAAGCCTAAGTGGGCAGATTGCATGAGCTCACGAGTTTGAGACCAGCCTGGCCAACATGGCAAAACCTTGTCTCTATAAAAAATATGAAAATTAGCTGGGCATGGTGGTGCATGCCTGTATTCCCAGCTACTTGGGAGGCTGTGGTAGGAGGATGAATTGAGCCCAGGAGGTGGAGGTTGCAGTGAGCCAAGATCACGCCACTGCACTGCACTCCAGCCTGGGAAATAGAGCCAGATCTTGTCCTAAAAAAAAAAAAAAAAAAAAGCCAGTTACCATAATACAACACATTAACTGAATGGAGGACAAAAGCCATTGATGGATAAAAAATATTTGAAAACTTCAACATGCTTTTGTGAGAAAAACACTCAACAAACAAGGACTAGAAGGAAATTGCCTCAACATAATAAAAGGCCGTATATAAAAGCTTACAGCTTACATCATACCCAATGGTAAAAAACTGAATGCTTTCTAAGATCAGGATCAAGGCAAAGATGCCCACTTTTGCTACTTCCATTCAGCATAGTCATGGAAGTCCTAGCCAGAGCAATTAGGCAATAAAAAGAAATAAAAGTTATCCAAATTGGAAAGGAAGAAGTAAAATTATCTCTATTCCCAGATGACATGATCTTACACGTAGAATTCCTAAAGATTAGACACACACACACAAACTGTTAAAACTAATAAATGGACCAGGTGTGGTGGCTCACGCCTGTAATCCCAGCATTTTGGTAGGCTGAGGCGGGTGGGTTGCTTGAGGTCAGGGGTTTGAGACCAGCCTGGCCAACATAGCAAAACTCCATCTCTACTGAAAATACAAAAAAATTAGGCAAGCGTGGTGGCAGGTGCCTGTAATTCCAGTTATGCGGGAGGATGAGGCATGAGAATCATTTGAACCTGGGAGGCGGAGGTTGCAGCAAGCTGAGATCGTGCCACGGCACTCTAGCCTGGGCAACAGAGTGAGGCCCCATCTCAAAAACAAACAAACAGGCCGAGCACGGTGGCTCACGCCTGTAATCCCAGCCCTTGGGGAGGCCGAGGTGGGTGGATCACAAGGTCAAGATATCAAGACCATCCTGGCCAACATGGTGAAACCCCGTCTCTATTAAAAATACAAAAATTAGCTGGGCACGGTGGGGGGCGCCTGTAGTCCCAGCTACTAGGGAGGCTGAGGCAGGAGAATGGCGTGAACCCGGAAGGTGGAGCTTGCAGTGAGCTGAGATCACTCCATTGCACTCCAGCCTGGGCGACAGAGTGGGACGCAGTCTCAAAACAAAAACAAAAACAAACAAATAAACAAACAACTCCCCCCCCCCCCACACACAAAAAACTAATAAATGAATTCAGCAAAGCTGCAGGACACAAAAACAACATGCAAAAATCAGTTGTGTACCTATATACTAGCAACGAATAATTAAGAAAAAAATCCAAGGAAGAAAAGAAAACACTTCCACTTACAATAGCATTAAAAAGATAAAATACTTAGGAATAAACTTAACTAAAAAGGTAAAAGACTTTTACAGAAATCACTACAAAACATTGCTGAAATAAATGAAAGAAGATACAAATCAATAAGAAGACAGCTGTGTTGATGGATTGTGAGACTTAAGATTGTTAAAATCCTCATACTACTCAAAACAATTACAGATTTAATGCAATCCCTATTAAAATATCAATGTTATTTTTTGCAGAAATAGAAAAACCCATCCTAAAATTTATACGGAATTGCAAAAGAACCATGCATAGCCAAAACAATCTTGAGAAAGAAAAACAAAATGGGAGGCCTCATATTTCCTGATCTCAAAACATTCTACAAACCTACAGTAGTCAAAATCGTGTAGTACTGGTATAAAGACAGACATTTAGACCAATGGAACAGAATGCATAAAACACAAACAAAACCTCACATACAAGGTCAAATGATCTTTGACAAGGATGACAAGGCTGCACAATGGGGAAAGGATAGTCTCTTCAACAAATGGGGCTGGGAAAACTGGATATCCACATGCAAAAGAATGTAGTTGGACCCTTACTCTAGATCATATACAAAAGTTAGCTAAAAATGGAATAGACCAAAAGTAAGTCCTGAAACTATAAAACTCCTCAAAGAAACTATAGAGGAAAAGCTTCATGACATTGGATTTGGCAGTGATTTCTTGGATATCACAACAAATGTGCAGACAACCAAAGCAAAAATGGACAAGTGGGACTATACCAAACTTTAAAAAGTAGGAAAGGAAACAATTGATACAGTAAAACAGCAATCTATGGAAGTGGAGAAAATATTTGCAAACCATATATCTGTTAAGGGATTAACATCCAGAATGTATAAAAATTCTTACAACTCAATAACAAAAACCCCCAAGTACCCCAATTTTTAAAATGGGTAAAGAACTTGAATACATATTTCTCCAAAGAAGATATACAAATGGCCAACAGGTATATGAAAATGTGCTCAATATCAAGGTGCTCAACATCACTAATCATTAAGGAATGCAAGTCAAAACCACAATAAGAGCCCGGGCATGGTGATGCATGCCTGTAATCCCAGCTACTAGGGAGACTGAGGCAGGAGAATCGCTTGAACCCAAAAGGTGGAGGTTGAAGTGAGCCAAGATCGTGCCACTGCACTCCAGCCTGGGCAACAAGAGCGAAAACTCCCTCTCAAAAACAAAAAAACAAAACAAAAAAAAACCCCACAATAAGATATTACTTCATACCTGTTAAGATGGCCACTATAAACACACACACACACACACACCCCAAAAAAACCCAGAAAATAAAAACCGCTGGTGAGAATGGGGAGAAATAGGAACCTGTGCACTGTTAGTGGGAATGTGAAATGGTGCAGCTGCTATGGAAAACAGTATGCAGTTTCCTTAAAAAATTAAAAAATATAATTATCATATGATCCAGCAATTCTACTTCTGGGTATATAACCAAAAGAACATAAAGCAGACTCTCAAAGAGTCTAGTTTCCACCCAGTAGGTGGAGCTGACACATGGGTATTGATTAGAAGTCTATAAAAAGAGCAGTCCTAACCCCTGTCCTGTGCAGCCAGGCAGATAGCCCATCCCCTGACCCCACTGGAGATGGGAGGCTTATTCCCTGGAGAAATTAAACCAAGGAAACTTCAGACTTTGAGACACAGACACATTAAAGAATATGGGTGAAGAACAAGGCTGAAAACAGGAGTATTAGAAGAGTCTACATTCTGTATAGTGAGTCTCCGGCTCTCTTTCCCAGAACTCTCGTATTTATAACCCCACACAGGAGGTATCTGAGATACCTTCTACTCTCTTACCCCAAGTAACCAATTTACCATCAACTTCCAGTGAATTTCACCTCTACAATATCTCTCTAATTCATTTCTTCCAGCACCTGCTATTGTGAGCTAGTCTCAATTCTCATCAGGACAATTGTAGTAGTATCCAGGCTTGTTCTCCTCCTGTCCATTCTTCATTTATGGGTAGAGCCAAATCTACTTATGTCACCTGGGCCCTGTTTAGCACCTTTTAATGGCTTCCCATTGTTTTTTTATTTTTAGTTATTTATTTTGAGACAGAGTCTCGCCCTTGTCACCCAGGCTGGAGTACAATGGCCCGATCTCGGCTCACTGCAACCTCCGCCTCCCGGGTTCAAGAGATTCTCCTGCCTCACCCTCCCGAGTATCTGGGATTACAGGTGCCTGCCACCATGCCCAGATAATTTTTGTATTTTTAGTAGAGATGGGGTTTCACCATGTTGGCCAGCTGGTCTTGAACTCCTGACTTCAGGTGATATGCCCACCTCAGCCTCCCAAAGTGCTGGGATTACAGGCATGAGCCACTGTGCGCAGCCTGTTTTTTATTTTTACAATTTATTTATTTATATTTAAAAAGATGCCATGTGACACTAACCCATTGTTTTTTAAATATTCTCTTGAGTATACTAAATTGACACATATCATCTGTAAATAATAATTTTGTAAGTTCCTTCATGTAACTCTTATTTCCTTTTACTTTATTGGGTAAAACTTCCAGAACAATGTAATGAATTGTGGTCATGGCATGTATTCTTTTTTTTGTTTCTGATTTTAATATGGATGTCTGTTGTGGTTTGCTATTATATATTACATTTTGCTAATAATTTCAATTAAATGCTCTCAGTTTACTAACTTTTAGAATCAGAAACAAATGTTGAATTTTATCACTCTATTTTCAGCATGTATTATAATTATTTATATTTTTTCTTCTTAGCATAATAATAAAATTCACTTAACCAGCATTTACTAAGCAGATGGTGCCAGGCACTGTCCTCTGCACTGGAGGTAACAGAAATCAACAAGAAAGTCAAAGCCTGTGTCCTTCCCTGGCAGAGGGTGGAAGGGCAGAAGGAACGAACTTCCTCCCTCAAGCCCTTTTTTTTATAAGGGCACCTAGTCCTATACAGGGGGTGCCACCCTCATGGCTTAATCACCTCCTGAAGGCCTCACCTATTAATATTGTTAAATTGGGCATTAAGTTTCAACATGGATTTTGGAGAGGACACAAACACTCAAACCACAGCAAGTACCATGAAGAAAACTGAAGCAGGATAAGTAGGTAGAAAGTGATAGGGTGCTATTTTATTGAGATTAAGCTACAAAAATGTATTCTTAATGTTGAATTATCTTAATATTTCTGGTTAAAAATCCTACTTGATTAAATTTCATGCTTTTCAATTCGCTAAAATTTTATTTAGAAAACTTATATTGGTGTTCATAAATGAAATCTGCCTGTTTTACTCTTCTGGATTCTTATTAAGGCATTTTGGAATGATATTTAAAGATTTTCTTTTTTAAAAATGATTTACATAATAGAAAAAAATTTCTGATGGTTTTATTTTATAGAATTTCCCAGTAAAACCATCTGAGTGTAGTGTCTTTGGAGAGGCTTATCTTTGACATTTTCAGTTTGTTCCATAGTTATAGGTCTAGTCAAGGCTCCTACCACACTGATATGAGTGTGACCTATAATACCCTACAGGAGGAACTGATTTATATTTTCTGGAAAATGTCTTTATTTCATCTAGATTTTAATGTATTCACATAAAGTTGAATATAGCACTGTCTCATAATTGCTTACATTTCTTTCAATCTGTGGTTTTATTTTTAAATTTGCAATGTTATCCATTAGTTATTTTTAAAAAATTGTGATAGACTGGTCATGTAACTCAGGGGCCCTGGGTTTTCTGGTACACACTGAAAAAGTGCCCACTTGTAACTGTTGCACCTTGAGTTCTTGTTGTTTCAAAAAGTTCCTGGAGAAGCTCGGCCCCAGAAAAACAAAAAACAGTTGGATCCAGAGATGGCTGAGTAGGAGATGAACTTTGGCGAACTCTTATTGTTATAATCTTAAAAACCCGGCCCAGGGAGGAGCTTATTCTCCATTTTCTATACAGGCGACATATGTAGAAACATAATCCGCCGCTGTGCCTGTGCGGCCAGGACTCCCTCTCTACACGCAATGATTCAGCTGACCAGCCCAAGACATGCTCGGTTTTCACGCCTGTTTGTAGGGGCACTGCTTTGGGGCACTACCTCCGGTGTCCTCCTTACTTGTTTCAAGTAATAAAATCCCCTTGTTAAATCCTCCTTGTTTATGGTCATTGGGGGCTCACCTGGCAACAACCAAATGCACCTATTATATGAGTAGCAGCTAGAGTTTTGTCCCCATTATTGGGAGCATTTTAAAGAACTAAAGAATCATCTCGTTTTTATTTATGAAATAAATGACTTTGTTCTCGAATTCATTATATTGATTTCAGTTTTTGTTTACTAATCCTTTTGTCCTACCTTTATTTTGCTAGAGTTAATTTTTTTTCCTTTTCTTTTTCTTTTTCTTTCTTTCTTTCTTTTTTTTTTTTTGAGACGGAGTCTTGCTCTGTCCTCCAGGCTGGAGTGCAGTGGCGCGATCTCGGCTCACTGCAAGCTCCGCCTCCCGGGTTCATGCCATTCTCCTGCCTCAGCCTCCCGAGTAGCTGGGACTACAGGCGCCTGCCCCCATGCCCGGCTAATTTTTTGTATTTTTAGTAGAGACGGGGTTTCACCGTGTTAGCCAGGATGGTCTCGATTTCCTGACCTCGTGATCTGCCCGCCTCAGCCTCCCAAAGTGCTGGGATTACAGGCGTGAGCCACTGTGCCTGGCCATTTCTTGTTTATTAAAACACGTAAAGCTGTATATTTTCTTCTGCGTCTGGCATTAGCCCTATTCTGTAACTTTTACTATGTAGTATTATCATCATGATTGAGTGCTTAATATGTTATTTCAATTTCTATTTTGCTATTAATTAGGAGACTTGTAATTTTATAAAAAATGTGACTAAGCTATCTTTTTGTCATTATTTTGTAGTTTTATTGCTTCTAGTCAAAGCTACCATTTCTCAAATAAATTGAGATTTTTCTTTGTGGAATCTTTTTTTTAAATTTTTTTTGCAAATTTTTTTCTTTTTTTTTTTTGAGACGGAGTCTCACTCTGTCGCCCAGGCTGGAGTGCATTGGCACGATCTCAGCTCACTGCAAGCTCTGCCTCCCAGGTTCCCGCCATTCTCCTGCCTCAGCCTCCGGAGTAGCTGGGATTATAGGCGCCCGCCACCACGCCCGGCTAATTTTTTGTATTTTTAGTAGAGACGGGGTTTCACCATGTTGGCCAGGCTGGTCTCAAACTCCTGACCTCAAGCAATCCACCCGCCTCAGCCTTCCAAAGTGCTGGAATTACAGCCATGAGCCACTGCCCCTGGCCTTCATACTTACTTTTAATTACATATAGATTAAGGGGTGGTTTATGAAGAAATTTCCAGAAAAAGGGTAGTAATTTCTGGGTTGTCAGCTCATTGCCACGGAAAAGGGCAGTAACTCCAGGGTGTTGCCATGGCAATGGTAAACTGACATGGCACACTAGTGGGTGTGTCTTATGGAAAGCTGCTTCCACCTCATCCCTGCTTTAGCTAGTACTCAATTTGGTCCAGTGTCCAAGCTCTACCTCTGGAATCGAGTCCCACCTCCTATCTCGGATCCACTGATTGATTAGGGGTGGCAATGAAGACATTATAATTCTGTCATTCCTTCTTCATTTATTAGCTGAAATAATTCTATAAAGAAAAATGTCACCCATACTCTATTGTGCAGAATAGGCAAGATAAATACTTGACTCCCTTGATCAGTTTTCAAAATAATGTGAGTTGGTTCTTTAATGTCCCCTGAAGTGATGAATAAGTGTTGTTTCTAGGTATCATTATGAACAAATGGATTTAAATGATTTTAGATGTTTCAGTCCATTGCGATCATTATTCATTTTGGTGCTTGATCATTCCAGCTTTAGCCGGTGGGAGCCTATTTGAGTTGGATCCTCCATCCCTTGGTCATGACTCTAATTTCCTGACACCATCCTTCCTATCAGGTATGATAAGATGTTTTAAGATCATCTTGTACATTTATTCTCCACACCTGGAATTTGACATTTTCCAAATTGCTGGTCCCTTTTTAGTAGAAGAAAAAACGTCTGGTTTTTTCTTTAAAAACAATTATTTTGAGAGGAGAGAGTTAATATCTAAATTTAACTTTTAAAATATTTTTGTCAAATTAATCAATGCAAGTGTATGAAAAGTAAAATTCCGGCCAGGCGCGGTGGCTCACGCCTGTAATCCCAGTACTTTGGGAAGCCAAGGCGGGCGGATCATGAGGTCAAGAGATCGAGACCATCCTGTCCAAAATGGTGAAACCCCGTCTCTACTAAAAATACAAAAATTAGCTGGACCCACTGGTAGCGGGGGCTGTAGTCCCAGCTGCTTGGGAGGCTGAGACAGGAGAGTCTCTTGAACCTGGGAGGCAAAGATTGCAGTGAGGTGAGATCGCGCCACTGCACTCCAGCCTGAGCAGCAGAGCAAGGCTCTTTCTCAAAAAAAAAAAAAAAAAAAGTTAAAATTCAAATGGTTCTGAAGAGCTGATCAACCACTTTTAATGATTTCAACAGTTCTGATAATTACCATTGTTATGACTCTAGATAAATTGCTACTATTTGCTGTTGCTTAATTTAGATATTTCACACATTATCTATGGATGTGCTATGGTAGATGATGATTTAGATCATCAATATCACTTTCTCACGGTTCCTCCTCACTCCTTCTCTCAGTAGAGTCATTTTTTGTCAGAGCAGAATTGTAAAAGTCTGTTTGGGTGTTTCTAGTATTTGCAAGGTTCTACTTATTTGGAGCTCATGATTTCTGTCACCATTCTTAGAAGTTCATTCCACACACTTATGTGTGCCATTGGTAATATGCCTTTCTTTCTATCCTTCTTATTGGCAACACTCTAGTCTTTGCTATTCAACTGACTAGTCGAAGAAGTATTTAGGAGGCCGAGGCAGGCAGATCTCTGGAGGTCAGGAGTTCGAGACCAGCCTGATCAACATGGTGAAACCCTGTCTCTACTAAAAATACAAAAATTAGGCAGGCATGGTGGTGAGCCTGTAATCCCAGCTACTACTGAGGCTGAGGCAGGAGAATCACTTGAACCCGGGGGGGAGACGGAGGTTGCAGTGAGCCAAGATCATGCCACTGCACTTCAGCCTGGGCAAAAAAGTGAGACTCCATCTTAAGAAAAAAAAAGTATTTGAAGCCCATAGGGTCACGAGGAGAATCCCGTCGAGTATTTCAGAGACCTGCTTTCACCTTGACATTAGTTTATTAGTGTTACCACTCTCCAACTGCCATTATCAAGCCCACATTTTTATTTTTTCATCTAGTTCATGAGAACATCATGTGAGACTCTGTAAAATGTCTTCCTAAAATCAAAATACATCAAGGTCTTACAATTCAATTAAAACAAAAGTACATAATTTTTAAAGCTTTTTATTATAATTTCAGTTACATTTATTACAATTTCAAGTACAAAGAACTCCTTAAACTTGGAAATTGACTATGGAGTTCATTTCCTAAAAACATTATAGCTCTAACATGCAGTTTATAAGCATAATTTGTGTCATTTATTTAATACATACACCAAAAATAAAAAATATATATGTATTTGGCCGGGCACACTGGCTCACGCCTGTGATCCCAGCACTTTGGGAGGCCGAGGTGAGCAGATCACTTGAGGTCAGGAGTTTGAGACCAGCCTGGCCAACGTGGTGAAACCCTGTCTCTACTAAAAGATAAAACTTAGCTGGCTGTGGTGGTGTGAGCCTATAATCCCAGTTACTTGGGAGGCTGAGGCAGGAGAATCGCTTGAACCTGGGAGGTGGAGGTTGTATTGAGATGAGATGGCGCCACTCTACTCCAGCCTGGGTGACAGAGCAAGACTCCATCTCAAAATAAACAAACAAATAAATATATATATATAAATAAATACTCTCTGATTCTGCTAATTCCTCTAATCTTAAACATTCCTCTTTTAGGAAAGTGGACCATAAAGGCTGTTACTGCCAATGGAAGGCATCTGGGATCCTGGTACTCCTCTCACCCTTGTAACGTATATATAAATGGCTAAATTGGCTCTTTTTAAGGATATCTTCTGCCAATATTAGATTTTTATTTTTCTTGCAACTCTTGGCAATTCTTGATTCTGCTCAATTTAGAATCTAATTTAGTTATGCAGAAACACTGACGTAAACAAATATACTGACCTTTTTTAAATAAGAAAATAAAGATACTGTTCTATTGAGTTGGGCTTGTATTTTAAGAAACTTTCACCAACAGTGGATCCTTTTGTGCGGTGCCTGGCAAACTATTTGGCCTGATCCTCCTGGAGAAATCTGTGAGCTCAGGAAGTTGTGAAGTGGGTTGTGTGAGAGTTGTATTTCCATTCTGTGACTGGGGAGGGGCGTATTCCTCAGTATAAAGCTCATTCTTAAAAGTAAAGAGTAAAACCATGCTTTTACCAGCCTCAAATAATCAACCCAGGGTTACACTTCCACTCTCTTTAGCAGAAAACTAACAATGGGTGATTTTGAATTAATTCTCTGGAGGGCTCAGCTTTAATTTAATCTTTAAAATACTACTTGAAGTATGCCAGGACACTAGAGGAAGTCATAAGATCTTACGGGCTATCGTGTAGTAAATATGTTGATTATAGTAAGCACTGTCCTATAACTTTTTTTTTTTTTTTTTTTTTGAGACGGAGTCTCACTCTTGTCACCCGGGCTGGAGTGCAGTGGCGTGATCTCAGCTCACTGCAAGCTCCACCTCCCAGGTTCATGCCATTCTGCCTCAACCTCCTGAGTAGCTGGGAGTACAGGCACCAACCACCATGCCCGGCTAATTTTTTGGTGTATTTTTTAGTAGAGACAGGGTTTCACCATGTTAGCCAGAATGGTCTCGATCTCCTGACCTCATGATCCGCCCTCCTTGGCCTCCCAAAGTGCTGGGATTACAGGTGTAAGCCACCATGCCTGGCCTGTCCTATACCTTAATACTTGAGCATTGTCACTTACCAACTTTACAATAGTCCATTTTTAGTATTTGGTCCTTTTCTAAGATAAAGGTGAGATAAAATGAGATGGATTACAGAATGATTAAATCTTAATCCAGAAAAGAAAAATGTTGTGAATTGAAAGAGAAGCTACATAATAGTGATGATACCAATGACACTTTCAGTGGTTTGTAAAGGTCAAGCTCAGCAAATTGTTTGTAAGACTTATTTCTTTTTCTTTTCCTTTTTTTTTTTTTTTTTTTTGAGACAGAGTTTCACTCTTGACGCCCAGGCTGGAATGCAATGGTGCAGTCTCGGCTCACTGCAACCTCCACCTCCCAGGTTCAAGCGATTCTCCTGCCTCGGCCTTCCAAGTGGCTGGGATTACAAGCATGCACCACCATACCCAGCTAATTTTTTGTATTTTTAGTTGAGACGGGGTTTCACTATGTTGGCCAGGCTGGTCTCGAACTCCTGACCTAAAATGATCTGCCCGCCTCAGCCTCCCAAAGTGCTGGCATTACAGGCATAAGCCAGGGCTCCCAGCCCCTGTAAGACATATTTCTGAACTTAACCATTATGCTGTGTTTTTAAGGAACTGTTACAGTAGCTGGGATTTAAATTAATAGAGTTCAGAGTTAAGTTCAAATATTTTACTGTACTTCAAAGTAAATTACTCAAGTTCCATAATAACAATTTAAACATTAAATATTCCTCCTTCTACTTTTTATATAAGAAATTATTATTAAAGGAGAAAAAAGATTAAGCAATTTTCCTTTAATTATTGCATGAAGCTCGAAAGCACCTGTGATCATTACTTTTAGCTCAAATTGCATACCAAACAAAAGTGTGAATCAACCCTAAGGAACAACTCAGGTACTGTCTGTACTTTTAATACAAAAAGAACATTAACATCAAGAAGAAATGCTCAATGCAGGTAATTCTAGAATTATCAAAATGATCATTAGGTGGATACTAAAAATAATTTTTTTTTCTGTATTAGCACAGTTCTAATAACCTATAGTCTCTCTGTGAAATGCTTCTGTATTTTAATTTTTTAAATTTTTTTGAGACAGCGTCTCACTCTGTCACCCAGGCTGGAGTGCAGTGGCCCCATCTAGGCTCACTGCAACCTCTGCCTCCCAGGTTCCCGCCATTCTCCTGCCTCGGCCTCCCAAGTAGCTGGGATTACAGGCGCGTGCCACCACATCCAGCTAATTTTTGT
The DNA here is from genome assembly GCF_000001405.40 of Homo sapiens. NCBI lineage: Eukaryota > Metazoa > Chordata > Mammalia > Primates > Hominidae > Homo > Homo sapiens. Next base: position 115,404 of record NW_025791811.1, read on the forward strand.
ATTTTTAGTAGAGACGGAGGTTCACCATGTTGGCCAGGCTGATCTCAAACTCCTGACCTCAAGTGATCCACCCGCCTCAGTCTCCTGAAATGCTGGGATTACAGGCATGAGCCACCACACCCGGCCTTATAATTTCAATTTGAAATAAATAAAGAAAATGTGGAATCTTTGCCATTAAAATAGAATAATTATAGAATCATAAAGCATGATAAAATAGGGAAACACTCATATCTTTTTCTTTTATATGTCAATGATGTTTATTTTTACATGATAGAATGAATTTTCTTATAATCCACAGCAAAACTATTTTAAACTATGTAACCAAGGAAGTGTATACATCTAAGTTAAATATTTTTTTCTGATATCAAAGGTAATACATACCCATGAATAAAACATTTAGAGGGAAAAAAAACCAGAAAAGCATTTTTTGAAAGAAAATAGGTGGCTCATGCCTGTGATCCCAGTGCTTTGGAAAGCTGAGTTTGGAGGATCACTTGAGGCCAGGAGTTTGAGACCAGCCAGAGCAACATAGTGAAATCCTGTCTTAAAAAAAAAACTAAAACAATATTAGCCTGGTGTGGTGGCCTATGCTTGCAGTCCTAGCTACTTGGGAGGCTGAGGTGGGAGGATTGTTTAAGCCCAGGAAGTTGAGGGTACAGTGAGACATGATTGCGCCCCTGCACTCTAGCCTGGGCAATGGAGCAAGATCCTATCTCAGAAATAAATAAACCCAGAAAATAATTGCCACAAATAGTACCACACTTAGAGATCACCACCATTAAATTAAGCTTTAAGGGCAATACAATGCAAATGAGTAATTTCTCTTTTTCTCTTTCTTTCTTTCTTTCTCTTTCTTTCTTTCTTTCTTTCTTTCTTTCTTTCTTTCTTTCTTTCTTTTCTTTTCTTTTCTTTTCTTTTTTTTTCTTTATTTGAGGGACACGGTCTGGTTCTGTTGCCCAGGCTGGAGTGTAGTGACATGATCACAGCTCACTGCAGCCTCAACCTCCTGGGCTCAAGTGATCCTCCCACCTCAGCCTCCCAAGTGGCTGGGACTACAGGCACATCCCGGCACGTGCCAGCACTCCTGGCTAATACTTACTTATTTATATTTTTTTGTAAAGATAGGGTCTTACTATGTTGCCCAGGGTAGTCTTGAACTCCTGGGCTCAAGTGATCTCCCGCCTCAGCCTCCCAAAGTGTTAGGATTACAAGGCAGGAGCCACCATGCCTGGCTGATCAATTTCTTGGTTCTTTTTTTTTTTTTTTTTTTTTTTTTTTTTTTTGAGACAGGGTTTTGCTCTGTTGCCCAGGCTGGAGTGTGGTGGTGCGAACACAGCTCACTGCAGCCTTGACCTCCTGGGCTCAAGTGATCCTTCTGCCTTAGCCTCCCGAGTAGCTGGACCAACAGGCATGCACCATCATGCTCAGCTAATTTCAATTTTTTAAATTTTGTAGAGACAGGATTCTCACCATGTTGCCAGGGCTGGTCTTAAAATCCTGGGCTCAAGCAATCCTCCTGCTTCAGCCTCCCAAAATGTTGGGATCATAGGCGTCAGCCACCGTGTCTGGCCATTTTTGACTCTTAAAGCAAATGAGATTTCATCCAACCTTCTTGTCTGGCAAATTAACAAATTTCCTATTGAGGACAGTTCATCAATATTAAGGAAAGAGTGAGTCTTTATAATTCTAATTTCTGCTTCCTGGATGAGAAATGAGAAATAGAAAAATATATAACTTATCTACCTCCAGCCTGGTAAAGTACAGTATTTTATAGGACATCTTCTAGGGTATGATTGTTTGAAATTTCCTCAATTTCCACCATTTTCATGAAGACTATTCCGTTAATTAATAGTTCTCATTATTTGAAAGGTACAGAATCTCTGAAAATCAATTTAATGGACTCTGTTTATAACCTTAATTGCTTTTGTTGCCCTTATCAGGATTTCCTTCAGTTTATTTGAATTTTTGCAAGGTAAACCACTAAAGGTGCATGAAAAGAAGTAATTATGCCTCCTTTCCTCCATCCAGCTTCCCTTTGTACATACCCAGAAATTGCATTTCTTCCCTTCTATCTCCTCAATGTCACTTTAATAGGAATTCCTATCTTTTTGTTCTTGTTATTGTTAAATAGGGTCCCTACCAGACCTCTGGCACTCCAGGCTCCTCTCATCTATTATATTTCCTTATTTCTGACTGTTCTTCCCTTTTCCCTCAGAGATAGTAGATGTCTTCATTCTCTCTTCTCTCAGTCTCGCTCTCTCTCTCTCATTTTCTCTCTCTCTTTCTCCAGCTTCTTTACCCACATTTCTGTTGCTATGTTGTCCTCACAGTTCCCAATACTTCCAGCAGTGCGGGCAGGATTTCTGTACCAAGCTGGCACAAACGGCCCAAGAAGAAAGGTGGTCACTGGGCCAGCCTCATTAGAGAACTGTGGTCAGAATGGCCTGTGGCCAGTCTGGTCCTAGCAACCAGCCATCAAACTATTGTTTGTGGCACAGAATCTCTTTAACGAGCTGTTCTTTGCACAAGGAAATACACCAACTGCAAGGGGACTTGCTACTGGAAACAGATTTTCCTATAGTGGTGACAGGGATGATAGTCAAAATATAGAACTGAATCCATCAAAGCACTGGAATTTAATCCAGCTATAGTGCCGGGAGCAGGATCCTGGAGGCTCCCTGCTTATCCAGATGTTAACACTATGCTTGCTAGATCATGTGAAGTTTTGGGGCAGGGGAATTCAAGTGAGGAATAAGGGTGGATGTCAGGGAGGGCATAAGAGAGGGTCGGGCAGAGACTTTTAAATCAATAAATATCATAGTATTTTAGTATTTTAATAAACAGAGGCTGGGTGTGGTGGCTCAGCACTTTGGGAGGCCAAGGAGGGCAGATCACCTGAGGTCAGGAGCTTGAGACCAGCCTGGCCAACATGGTGAAACCCCTTCTCTACTAAAAATACAAAAATTAGCCAGGTGTGGTGGCACAGCCCGTAGTTCCGTTCCAGTTACTCAGGAGGCTGAAAGCAGGAGAATCTCTTGAACCTGGGAGGTGGAGGTTGCAGCGAGCCAAGATCACTCCACTGCACTCCAGCCTGGGCAACAGAACGAGACTCTGTCTCAAAAAACCAAACCAAACCAAACCAAAACAAACAACAACAACAACAAACCGGTTCAGCTGAATTTTGCACACCAGGTCAATGTCAGCCTTTTGGGCCATAAGTTTGTCCTCACTCATGTTCTGTCTTCTGTTTCTCCTTGAGACCAAAACACACGTATCTAAGTAAATATCCCCATTTTACAGAAGAGGAAATTGAGACCCAGAGAGGACAAGTCATTAGGGGCCAGGTGGAGCTCAGATGTAAAGCCAGAACTGACTGATCCCAAAGACAATGCTGTTGGGACTAAAATTGTTACACAACAGTATTCATTAATGTTCTTTAACATTTGCTAAGGACTCTTGTGGATATTTTTCAGTTCTTATGGCAACCTTGTGAAGTAATGTGGGTATTACTATCAATCTCTTTTTACCCTAAGATAATAGATACAGGTTTGGGAAACCCAAGGTTTAGAGAAGTAACTTCTTCAGAGATACTAAAAGAATGAACAAAAGATAGAAGAGCTATTATGTGATAGAATACATGGACTCACATATGGTCATAATTTCTGGTTTGGGAACCTCTTCTCTGCCACCACACCATGCCACCCTGAGGTCTGTAACTGTACATTTCTTAGAGTACCATCTCAACAATGCCTCAACAATACAAAGATGGCTGTAATAATTTGTGGCCAGTGGTTAGACATTTAGAGTTATTCCTTCCGGCACTGGGTTGGCACTCAGCCAATTACATTCTTCCACATGATTTTCCTTAAAACCAATAGCAAAAAAAGAAACAAAAAATGGCAAGCAACTGATGGTCACTTAACTGGGATTTGAGGATATTTGTGGCCATGTGATAACCACACTACTTAGAGTAACACTAGCTAGATGTAACTGGCTAGATGTAACTACATTAGCTAAAGTAACACAAATTAGATGCAATAACCACGTTAACTAGAGTGAAACTCCAACTTCAGCTCTAAAATTCATGTGTTTTAGGAACCATTCATGTAAGTTTGGAACTTCTTTACTGGGAGTCATATTTTGACCTTCTATCAAATGCTTTATTTATATACAAACAAGTGAAATCTTTGTTATTTCCTTTATCCAATATTCTAGACTGAGTGTAAATGTCACTTCTTCCTTGAAACATTCTTTACCTGCCCTAGGCAGAACTAGCCAGACCCTCTTCTGTGACTAAAGCACTTTATACGCACCTTAACTGTAGTCCACCTAAATTGTGCTGCAGTTATTTGCATTTCAGGTTGACCTAGGAGGACTCTGTCCTAGTAATCTTTCTCTCCCCATTACTACATTACGTTTGACACATAGTAGCTATCCAAGAAACAATTGTTGACTTATTAACTAATGTATACACACACTAAGAAAATAAAATTCATGTTCACATAGTTTGAAAAGAAATTAGGTGTTGCCATTTTTAGTGGTGGGAGTGGAGTGAGGGTAACATTTGGTCTTTAGTGATACCATTTTTAGTGGAGGAAACTGTTATCTGTGGTAACATTTGGTCTGTCTTGGAACTTTATATTTTTGATTAAGCAAATACGGGGAATGAAGGTTTAGCAGCTCTCATATTTTATTATAACATTTACAAATCTGTTTATTGCATTATTTCACATGTAATTTCAAGAAAGAGTTCCTGATGTAAAAGCAGTATTCAGCAACTTAATTTAATTAAAATTATATGGATTTTTAAAATGATGATGTCGGTCTGTATATATTAACATGGAAAGACATCTATGATACATTGTTAAGTGAATAAAGAGCAAGTTAGGAAGCAGCAACTAAAGTATTTGTTCGTTTTTGTAAAAAAATAATTCTATGGAGTCTTAGAAAATATTCCAGAAGAATAATATTGGAGTAATAATATTATTTTTATCCTCCTCCTTGCTTAAATTTTATATCCTTTGACCAATATCTCCCTAATCCCTACTCCTCCCACATATCTTTTCTTTATAATGAAAGATTACAGTGTTCCAGGTATGAAACTAAGTGTCTTCCCACATTATTTTAATCCTCACAATAACTCCATAAATTCATTCATAATTAATTAATTAATTCCTCATTCAACTTATAATTCTTGTCCTAGGCAGTGTGTTAAATGTTAGAGATATAGCAGTGAACGAGAAGGATGCGGTACCCAATGTTTCATCATTATCCTAACTTTACAGATGAAAATTAGTAAGGTTGCCCCATCTACAAGGGGTCTTCCAGTCCAACTTCTGGTTCAACTAAACATACAGACTCACAGGACACCCATGGGCTTTGTCGCCACCAGTGTATGAAGACAGGTATGGCATAGCATCTGGACTTTTTTTCTGTGGGATTTTTTTTTTTTTTTTTTTTTTTGAGATGGAGTCTTGCTCTGTCGCCCACGTTGGAGTGCAGTGGCACAGTCTTGGCTCACTGCAACCTTCGCCTCCCAGGTTCAAGCAATTCTCCTCCTCAGCCTCTCGAGCAGCTGGAATTACAGGCATGTGCCATGACGCCCAGCTAATTTTTGTATTTTTAGTAGAGACGGGGTTTCACCATGTTGCCCAAGTTGGTCTCGAACTCCTGGCCTCAAGTGATCCGCCCACCTTGGCCTCCCAAAGTGCTAGGATTACAGGCATGAGCCACCGCACCTGGCCCAATTTTTTCTGTGGGAGTTCTTACAGCAGAGTTCATACATTCTTCCAGGAACCACCATCTTTGGTCCTTCAGAAGATGGCTCAGATGCAAGGAGATGAGACCCACATTGGGTGGATGCAGGAGCCACCCTGACGTAAAAGCCTCATTCTCAATGTAACAACTCCATAGGCACAGTATCCAGTGTCCCCATAAGAAGTACTACCCCCATCTGGTATTTATAGTTCATGATCTTTTCTCCCAATTCAAAGGCAGTTTGCCAATCAGAGGTCATTTCTATCAGAAGCAAGCTTAACTAAAAATATAGTTAGCATTTTATTTCTATCAGATCACCAGGGAAACAGAACTAGAGAGTGAAACAAAGGTCAAATTTTTCATGCAGAAGGAGGTGAAAGGGTTTTGTTAAGTAGCTTATTCAAAAAACAAATGAAAGAGTGGATTCAAACTTAGGTCTGTCTGACTGCAAGTCTAGCTTCTGAACTTCACTGGATAGTAACAAATGTGATCTCTGGGGGGAAAGCTTTTAGAAAACTTTACTTTCTTTTTCATACTTTCTGATTTCTCAGACTTTTTTCATAATCAGAAAAAAATGGTTTTCATAGTAAAGACTATAGCAACATGAAAATATGCTTTTGCTACAGCATGAAGTGAAAGTAGCCAGAAGCAAAATGATATATGCAATTGCATTGTGATTAGGATGATGTAAAAAGAGAAATGCACAAAGAAAGAAGCCAAGCAAAAGTACAAAGCAGTCCTAATAGTAGTTGAATCAAGATGGTTGGCTTGGAAATAGCTTTTTTTCCCCTGTTTTCCAGATTTTCTATGAAATGGCTATGTTATTCTTGGAATAAAATGGAACGCATTTATTAAAATAGAAAAGGAATTACATTTAGCTTATAAAATATTTGAAAAGTAAAAATCATGCAAACATGTCACCCTAAGATAATAGACAGTTTCATATTTCTTCATATAGGTGAATACATTTTATATAAAATTTAGCTGTTGGGGGTTCGGAGGCTTCTGCTGTACTCCTGCCCTGACACCACTGTTTCAGTGCATTATGGTAACCTCCCTAGACTGGGTTCATGCAGCAGAGCTGGAATACTATTGCTCAACTCCTTTCACATGCTGTCTATAGTTATTTCAGGATGGAGCTATTTAAGGTTTCATTTTCCTTCAAAACTCACGTTTTGGGCTTTACATGATCCTTCTTTAGCCAAGGACTCATATAATTGGATAGCTGCTGTTATATTTTGCACGCCAAAATTTCCAAATAGCAAAGCGTCAGCCATTTTCTCCATAGCTTTCAAGTTTCCCATGTCAGCTGCTTTGGCAAAAAGTAGGTAGGCTCTGTTTCAAGAATATAAAGTCAAGTTTGATTTTCAAAAATGAAATTTTCTTCTCCTTCTTCAACACTATTCATACTACTTCTCTCTAACAAGCAGGAACCAGTTGTCATACAGTTTAGCTGAAGTTCATTACATCTCTAGATCAGTAGATTTTTTTCATTCCTAAAGCAGTCTAAGGCTATAATTTCAAATATATCTCACAAATAATAATGCTACTAAAAAGGAGAAATATATAACATACACCATCTTATACACTGATACAGAAATATATAAGATACACCATCTTATACACTGAGTAAGCTTATACACTGAGTAAAGTGAAAAATTGAGGAACTTTTTCTAAAATACTGAACTCTCCCATGGCCACCACCATTATTTATGAATATTTGTTTTATAAAATAAATTCTGAAAAATATAAGAATAATCAAAATTGGAATGTAACCTCTAGGAAGTTACTATCAGAAGAATGATGATCCCTTCATATCTTAATTTGCTAAACAGAATATATTCTTCAACACAGCAAAGTCAGACTCTTTGGAAAAACAATAATGAAACAAAACCTTAATGGCTAGGGCTCTAGAGTCTGACTGCCTGGTTCAAATCCTGGTCCCACCACTTACTAGTTGGAGAACTTCAGCCAAGTTATATAACTTTTCTGTGACCCTCTAATCTATGAAATGGGGATAGCATTATAGCACCCACTTCATAGGGTTGCTGTGGAGATTAAATGAGATAATCCATGGGAAGTGCTTGGCATTGTGCGTGGTATAGAGTAAGCACTCAGTAAATTTAGCTGTTATTATTGGGACAGTTGCATTGATTCTAAAGTTTTATAGCATGGTAATTGTTCTCCTATAATTAGGTGGTAAGTAGTGTGAACATTTAGTGATTAAAATGATAGGTGCCACAGGATTACCTTACACTGCACTCTTCGAGACCCAGTCAGAAGCCATCTGGACCTGATTGGTATAAGAAGTGATGGAGAGTCTTGCAAGGTCAAAACATGTGTCAGAGACAGGGAGTATTTTAGGGATTTATTTTTACTTTTATAACTTCGTTTTGAAGGTAAAGACCAGAAAGCGTTAACTTCTACCTGTGACCTTGACTCAAATACAGGGAAAAAAAACCCCATAAAAATCTACCATTGCTTCTGATTTAGGAGGATCAGGAGACTCACCTTTATGTACAGCCCATCCATGCTGAGGCTAAAATAAGCTGCTCTTGGGCAGAAGCTGGAGCAGAGTAGTCCAGGCAAGAAGGACCTCAGACAGAGAAACATCCAGGTAGGCATTAGAATCCTGGATGTCAAAACACAGGGTGAGTACTCCAGTGGAACAAAAAGAGATAGAAAACTGGAGTTCAGGAGATCAAGAAAGAAATTAACCCAGGTCAAAGCCAGCTGAAATTCTGGAGGCGGGAAGGCAAACAAGGCAGATGGTCTCAAGGTCACTAAAGGCAAATGTCTGGCACCCAGAGAGAGGCAACAGGAAGAGAGCCTGGCATCAGGATACAGACTCCCTTGAGCCTTTCTGTCACGTGGCTTGCTGCTGCAACTCTATAGCCTACTGGGACAGGAGGAGCACCAGCATGGACCAAGGCACAGAAACCTGAGATAGGCTGCAGGGGCCTCCAATAGTACGCCTAGTAGCTCCAGCATTTTATACACAGTCTCTGGACCCAGAGGGCAGCAATAGGCTGCAAAACAAATCCTTCTAGGTGTCTTGCATTCCAAGGGCAGTGTGGGCATATGGGTTCCATAGCAGAAAACCCAAGGCACTAAAAGGGATACTAGAAGCAGTATCCAGGGCTGGAGAAAGTTGCTGATAGGTAAGATTAAGATGTGGGCTGCAATCCCCAAAAGGAAAAAGGTGGGAGAAGCTGGGCAGCAGGGGCAGATCCTAAAAGACAATTTAATTAGTTATCTGAATGGTCTCTACAGGGTCTGGCATTGGACGCTTAGGTGGGTGATGGGGGAGGAAGGGCTCAATGCTTCTGCAGGGCACATCAGAAACTTGGTGTAGAACAACGGCTTATCTTCGAAACTTCTTTGCTGATGGGGAGTGATTCTTAATGAAGGACCACTCTAGCTGTCAGTGAGGCTTCCTGACTCACTCAGACAAATTTGTTCTCTCTGACACGCTTGCTTAATATCTGTACTTTAAACAGCACTGACTTGTTCAGTGATTTTTCCTACTCATACAAAAGAAGAGGCTGAATGAGTGAATAAATGAATGAATGAATTGGTCCAGGATGTGGGTGTGGAGGAGCCAAAAGGATAGTTTTAACCTATCTTACATCTGTCCTGCCAACCCAGGAAGTAGCAAAGCAAAGAGAGGGTAGGATAGAGGAATGAGCGGGAATGAAATTATTCTCCTTTGGTCAGGAGGGTGTGCAATCATTTTTCTCTCCACCTGCCCTATGCTTAGGCATGGCTGCACAGATGTAACTTGTTTAAGGAGACAGCAGGCCATCCTGATAACACAAGAACTTCACCCAGCTTGCCCAGAAACTCCTGAGATCTCTTTCTATGAGCCCATTAGAGTTCAGTTCTCCATTGCTACCGACTCAAAAGGGTCAGGAGGCTGGGCGTGGTGGCTCATGCCTGTAATCCCAGCACTTTGAGAGGCTGAGGCGGGCAGATCACTTCAACTCAGGAGTTTGAGACCAGCCTGACCAACATGGCGAAACCCTGTCTCTACTAAAAATACAAAAATTAGCCGGGTGTGGTGGTGGGCACCTGTCATCTCAGCTACTTGGGAAGCTGAGGCAGGAGAATCGCTTGAACTGGGGAGGTGGAGGCTGCAGTGAGCTGAGATTGTGCCACTGCATTCCAGCCTGGGCAACAGAGTGAGACTCTGTCTCAAAAAAAGGTGGCGGGGGTGGTCAGGAGACTGAGTTTTGGGGCAAGGATGTGGGCAGGACAGTCTTGGTAAGAATAGCATGAAACTGAATGACACCCAGGTAGGCATGAAGGTTCCCACACTAATGGATGGTCTGCTATTAGGACTGGGCTTTCTCCCTGTTCTTTAGGCCAAAGAGGAAGGTCCCCTTCAAGGTTGAGTGGATGGTTACCTGGGACCTTCTCAGAGTGATTTTGTCCCATTGGGCCAAATCCAGGGTTTCCCTGGACTTGATGTAACACACCTAGTTGGGCCCCTTCTTTGTGTGGGCTCCCATGCTATAGTTAGGGGTCATCTGAAATCTCAGGGACCAGCCCCTGACTGGCGCTCCACATCTGTTTCTTCTAGCTAGGCTGGCTGGAGAACTCTCTGTTCTTACTTATTTAGCCAGTGGGCATGTTAGTGAGATGAGCTCCTATTAGGCTGGATTGTATTTTTGGGATCTGATTTTACCCCTTCCTCATTATAACAGCCCCCAGGGACATTCAGTGGGAGGCCCAGGTTTTGCTGTGGTTGGTTGAACCACCCCCTCACTTCTTTCTTGTCTCTTAGGAAGTATTACATCATCTTTTTGACTCTCCATTTCCTTCTTGTAATTTGGAGATAATTATCTATGTCTCACGGTATCACTGTGAGCAATGAATAATTTACACATGTAAAGTACCTAAAACAGTAACTAGCACAAAGCAGGTGCTTAATAAATGAAAGTTGTTGATGTTGTCATAACCAGAATCATAGTTGAGTGCTCCTTATCCTCTGTATTTTTATACTTCTCAAAGGTTTGGGTTTTAAGAACTCATGGACTTTGTTGCTGCCCTGTCTGGTGCTAGCTACCACAGCTCTGGGATGCTTTCCTCTGACTGGTGTGCCTATTCTGTGTGAAAACAAGAGATGTCTCCTTGTTGGGGGCTCAGGGCCCATACTTTCTTTATTTCTTTCTTTCTTTTTTTTTTTTTTTTTTTTTTTTTTTTTGAGATGGAGTCTGGCTTTGTCACCCAGAGGCTAGAGTGTTATTGCATGGTCTTGGCTCACTGCAACCTCTGCCTCCTGGGTTCAAGAAATTCTCCTCCCTCAACCTCCCAAATAGTTGGGATTACAGGTGCGCGCCATCATGTCTGGCTAATTTTTGTAGAGACGGGGTTTCACCATATTGGCCAGGCTGGTCTCAAACTCCTGACCTCAAGCAATCTGCTAGCCTTGGCCTCCCGAAGAGCTGGGATTACAGGTATGAGCCACCGTGCTTGGCTAGGGCCCACACTTTCTATTATTGGTTCAAAATACCCTTGCTTTCTTTGCCCCCATACCTTCAACTTAGCAGTTAGGGGACTCAAGATAAAACTAACACACCTGTATTTCCTGGTTACTAAGTGTCAGGCACTATTGTAAGAGCTTGATTGCATTATCCGGGTCACAGAGAGGTTGAGTAACTTATCCAAGTGCAAACAACCAGTAAATGAGAGAGCTAGGATTTGATCCCAAGGCTTTAGCTAGAGCCTTGAGGGGTGACCACAGGTTGTGCCCCTCCACTGGAAGTGTGGAGTGGAGGGAGAAGATATTTCTGCCTCCCCTTTAGACAAGGTAGAAAAGTGATAAGAGAAACAGTGAACATGGAACAAGACCATGTGGCCACAGCTTGGTCACCTCCCAGCTATCTGTGCTCACCTCACTTTAACATCTTTGAATCTCTGTTTCCAACTTCTTAAAGGAGAAAAATTAAGCTCTTCTTACCTTATAAGACTGTTCTGGGGATAACATGGAATCACATACATGAAAGTGCTTTTAAAAATCATAAGATACTGTACAAACACCCAGGCAGAAGTAAAGCATTTTTAATACAACAACTTGCTCTAATTCAAATAACACATTTTATTTCACTTGAATCATCTAATAAATTAAAGCCAAAACAATATTTCTGCATGAATGCTCAGGTCAGTGTCTTAATTCTCAATTTCACTTAATACGGGGACTGCAATCTCACATGCAGTTCTCCTGTTTGTTTAGAGTGATAATTTGTGGGATTCTTTAAACACAATTTGATCCTTTTAAAAACAATAGTTTATGGGCAAATAGGCTTACTCATTATCCCAATGAGTTTTAATGATAAACTACATTTGGGATTTTTCTTTTTTCTTAACCTGGAAATTCAACTTGGCTAAGGTCACTGGATAAAGACTTACTCTTCTTTTTGTTTTTGGCTTTTAGACTGCTGGAGAACCTTGATGCCCATCTTAAATAGCTGGTCTCCTTCATCTGTAAAATTTTTCTCTGCTTGCTTTTGTACTATACATGAACAAACAAAAAATAAAAACAATATTACTTCTATGTTCCATATTTTAAAAATAATGTGCTAAAGTAATTTGTTGGCATATTAGAGTTCTGTTCTACTTATTTTTTAAACCTCTGCATTCAAGAAGATCTGTTAATATTATTTCTTAGCTGAGGAGCGTCGGTAGGTCAGAAGGCTGAAGCTGCCTAAAAACTTATTCCCTGCTGGTTTTTGTGAAAGGATCTGGAAGGTGAAGTAGAAAGAGAGATGCTCCTGATGGGAGAAGGGATGCTTTTGGTCTAGGGAAGGGATACAAGGTTCTCCGATCAGAAGGCAGGAGATGCCTGGTATATAAGAGGGGCAGGATCTTAGCCCTGGCTGGCAAAGACTCTCTTGTCTGAGCATAGCACAGTAAATCCCAGAGCCACAGGATTCCAAAAAAACATGAGGACATGGGCAACAGGCATCTCCAAGATGACCAGTGTGCACCTAGGAGAGGAGGAGGGAATTGCTTTATAAATTTCCTTGGCTGGGCGCGGTGACTCACGCCTGTAATCCCAACACTTTGGGAGGCCGAGGTGGGTGGATCATGAAGTAAGGAGTTCAAGACCAGCCAGACCATCCTGGCCAGGGTGGTGAAACCCTGTCTCTACTGAAAATACAAAAATTAGCCAGGCGTGGTGGCACACACCTGTAATCCCAGCTACTCAGGAGGCTGAGGCAGAGAATTGCTTGAACCTGGGACGCGGAGGTTGCAGTGAGCTGAGGTTGCACCACTGCACTCCAGCCTAGGTGACAGAGCGAGACTCCGTCTCAAAAAAAAAAAAAAATGTTATTGGCCAGGTGAGGTGGCTCACTCCTGTAATCCCAGCACTTTGGAAGGCCGAGGCAGGCGGATCACTTGAGGTCAGGAGTTTGAGACTAGCCTGGCCAACATGGTGAAACCCTGTCTCTACTAAAAAATATAAAAATTAGCTGGGCAGTGGCGTGCAGATGTAGTCCCAGTTACTTGGGAGGCTGAGATGGGAGGATCCCTTGAACTCAGGAGGCAGAAGTTACAGTGAGCTGAGATCAGGCCACTGCACTCCAGCCTGGGTGACAGAGCGAGACTCCGTCCCAAAAAAAAAAAAAAAAAAAAATTCTACCTAAGGCTTTTCCACCTCCCAGGACCCTTTCTAAGACTTAGGGGAAGGCACAGAGACAGAATACTCATGATAACTTGCCTCGTAGGATGAGGGCTCAGAATCAGTTTTGCAGAATTCAAGGAAAATGAAGAAATTAAATTTTACCTGCTACAGTGATATTTTCCAAACGTTTATGTAACACTTTGCAATTTTTAAAAAATCATCACCAGTTTATAGTTGGGGAAAGCTGGTTGTGGGAAGAGTCACACTTAAAGATATAAAGATCCTTCCACCAATGTGTGCATATGCACACACACACTATTTTTCTCTCTCTCTCACACACACTCTCACATACACACACACACACACACATACAGCCTTTTATAACATCACAGTGCCTCTTGAAGTCCATTACAACACTTAGTAAAATCTTTGATTAGAAGAACCACGCTTGAAGCCATTTCAAAGGAAAGGCATTTGGGATTTGATGCCTCATTAACAAGACCACAAAGAACAAGTAGCTCTTGTTTTTTATCTTTCTGACAAGCAATCAGAGTTGCTCATTTTTCTTTTTAAATTAAATTTAAAAAATTAAAAATTTAAAAACTAAAAAAATTCTTAACTGAAAAGCCTATTTAAAATTATTTTGAATACTTCACACTATCCAACCAATTTAGTAATACCAGGCACTTTCAGGATCTAATTTCTGCTCTGAGTTATCTGTTACCTATACTTCTAATTAAAGGGGGAAAATAATGGAGAAAACCTAATAATCTGTGTGTGGAATAATAATAGCTCCTATGAAAATGCTTTTAGAGAGTGAAAATAAATTTTGAAAGATTGGCTCTGTATACATATACATATGAGAAATGATTTTACCACCACAAATTTCTACCTATGGCTTTTACTTTTATTTGTAATTCTTTTTTGGCTTTCCAAATGTATTGGAATTCAATTATTCGTTTTCTTCACTCTGTTGCCCCGGTTGGAGTGCAGTGGTGCAATCTTGGCTCACTGCAACCTCCACCTCCTGGGTTCAAGTGATTCTCATGCCTCAGCCTCCGAGTAGCTGGGACTACAGGTGCATGCCACCACGCCCAGCTAATTTTTGTCTTTTTGGTAGAGATGTGGTTTCACCATGCTGGCCTGGCTGGCCTCGAGCTCCTGACCTCAAGTGATCTGCCCACCTTGGCTTCCCAAAATGCTGGGATTACAGGCGTGAGTCACCACACTCAGCCGCTGTTTATTAAAATACTAAAATACTATGATATTGATTGATCAAATTTTCTTTACTATAAGAGGGTCCAGGGCCGGGCGCAGAAACAGTCAAAATAAAAAGGGATATGACTCACCTAATGGGAAAAATGATTTACAGGAAACACTTTCAATAATGTCAGGTAAATAAAGTATTACTTTCAATAAACAACCCATTGCTTAAAATACTTGTAACAACTTGCAATAAATTTATTTTAAAGCAAAAAAATGTATTTATGGAACCGTTTTTCAAATTTTTCATCCATTGATATTAACTTGTGTTCTCTGTCTCATGATTCTGCATGTTTGTAGCTTTGAGAAGCAGTATGAGCACAGACTCAAATCAGACTGCCTAGATTTGGAACGTCATTTACTAGATACCAACTATATAGCCTTGGGAAGATTATTTAACCTCTCAGTGCCTACATCACCTCATTGTAAAATGGGAATTATAATAGCCCCTTCTTCTCAAAGGCAGTGAGAAAATTAAGTACAAGAACTGAAACCTGCCTAGTATCTAAGTGCTTTATAAGTTTCAGCTCTTATTCCAACATAATTGATATTGCTTTTGATTCTTCACTTGTTTCATGAACCATATTTCTTTCTGCTAAATTAAAGGTTTTTGAAAATGAATTAAGTCCTTGTACCAAATATACAATAATGCATTATTATATAATTAATAAATAAGAACACAATCCCTGTTATTTCAAATCTTGCTGAAAAGAGATTTTCTTTCTACTTTTAATGCAATTTTTTTTACCATTTCTCACAATATGACTGGAGTTATTTATGTTTGACAATGATCTGGAGATTGCGAGTAAACCTGATTATTGTAAATATATTTGCTCTTATTCAAGCGTATTTGAGTCGATTGCATCTTTATTTGACTAAACTCTTTGCTGAGTCATTCTTTCTTGGATGAAATGTTATTTTTAGTAATGGATCGTTATTCTTCTTCCACATCTAGGATTGTATCTTCCTGACACACATAAGGGCAAATGTGAAGAACTCTTCTGATGCATTATTCACAAAATCTGAAGCTGAAGCTGGTTTATATTAAGCACAATTGAAATCAGATTTTAAAAAAAGGATGCAGTGTCTGTGTAGGCTAGATTTTCCGCAGAGGAAAATAATTTCCCATTTTTATCCCTTTGTATCATTTTAATGATGAAAGCACCTGATTTTTAGTCAGACTATGATATTCACCTCGCTCACTTGTTAATTTTTTTTAGCTCTATATGATCCTTTACGTGGTTTGTGATGTAAATATAACTTGAGATTCAAAATACTGGAATGTGCTATCTTTTTCCTTTTATTTTTCTAGATAGTATTGATTGATTTGTTTTTAAACTTACGTATTAAGATTTTAGATTTTGTGGTAAAACATATCCAGGACTGAGAAATGCAGCACAGAGCATAGGAAGGAACCAAGCAAGTATAGGGTTTCAGGAGAGGTTTAGAGCTTTATAGGGTGGATGGCACTAGAGGGTTACTCCCTTCCCACAGGTAACAGGGCTGGGCTGTTACATCCCGAGTCTGTTAGCCAGTTGCTACAGGCCACCACCAGGATATCATATTTAATCAACAGCACTTTTATTTCTTAGTGGCCATAAAACAATGGTGTATCTTATAACTTTTGACATCTTAAATTTGACACAAACATAGTATATGAATTTGAAACAATACATTTCTCTCTAATTACTGTTTTGGTGGCATTCCACAATTTTTATGTAGCATTTTCATTATCAATTATAAATATTTTCAAATTTCCATTCTAAGTTATTCAAACAACGTTTAGAAGTGTTTATGACACTTTCCAGACATAAAAGGTTTTTAAAAATTGTCTACTTATGGCTTGTAATTTTATTGCATTGGGATCAGGGAGCCCAGCAGAATCGTATAGATTCCTCAGTTTATGTTGAAACTTGTTTTGTGGCCTTGTGTGTGGCCAATTTTTATACAGTTTCCATTTTTTTACTTAAAAAGATTATATATTCTTGGCTGAGTGCAGTAGCTCACACCTGTAATCCCAGCACTTTGGGAGGCCCAGGTGGGTGAATCACTTGAACCAGCCTGGGCAACATGGTGAAACCTCATTTCTACTAATAATACAAAAATTAGCTGAGCATAGTGGCACGTGCCTGTAGTCCCAGCTATTCGGGAGGCTGAGGCACAAGAATTGCTTGAACCCGGCAGGTGGAGTTTGCAGTGGGCCGAGATTGTGCCACTGCACTCCAGCCTTGGCGACAGAGTAAGACTCTTCCTCAATAAAAACAAAAACAAATAAACAAAAAAAGATATTATATATTCTTTAATTATTGAATTAAATTCCATATATTATTAAATTGAGCTTTATACATTCAAATCTTTTTGATTTTCAGTAATTTTTTGTTTGCTGAATCTACCAGTTTCTAAGAGATGTTAAAAAATCTTCAACAATTGTGGATTTGTTCATTTCCTATTGCAAGACTGTTAATTTTTCATTTTTATATTTTGAGATTATGTTGATGGATACATGCTTAGAATTATCACAACTTCCTTGTGATTGTTCCTTTGAACATTATGTGGTGATTCTCCTTTTCTCCCTATTATTGACTTTACCTTGAAGTCTATTTTGTCTGAAGTTAATATGAGCTTTCTTTTGATTAGTGTTGCCTGGGATATCATTTCTATTCAGTTAACCTCAGTTTTTGTGCATCATGTTTTAAGTATGTTTCTTACAAACAGCAGATAGTCAAGTATGGTATTTTTCTTTCAATCTAAGAGTATCTCTTCTTCAACTTGGTTTTTTTTTGTTTTTCTTTTTTTTTCTGGGCTGCATTCAGGACAATTTCTTCTGATTTTTCCGGTAATTTGTTAATGTTCTCTTCTACTATGTCTGATCTTCTTAAGCCATCCTTTGATTTTTAATTTGGATGAATACACATTTTCTTTTTCTTTTTCTTTTTTTTTTTAAGAGACAGGGTCTCACTCTGTTGCCTAGGGCAGAGTGCAGTGGTGTGACCATAGCCCACTGTAATCTCAAACTCCTGGGCTCAAGATATCCTCCCACCTCAGCCTTCCAAGTAGCTGGGACTACTGGTATGTGCCACCATGCCTGGCTAATTTCTTTTTTTTCATAGAGACAGACTCTCACTGTATTGCCCAGGTTGTTCTCTAATCCTTGGACTTAAGTGATCCTCCCACCTTGGCCTCCCAAACTGCTAGGGTTACAGGCGTTTCATTTTTCTTAACTCTGGTTGGTTCTTTTACATGGCTGCTTATTCCTTTGTCAGGATGCCTTGTTTTCATGCTTTCTTAACCATTTTAAAATATATTTATTCTGTAGACTTTTGCAGGTTGTTCTACTCTATCAAGTCTTGAGGTGCTGGCCAGGCACGGTGGCTCACACCTGTAATCCCAGCATTTTGGGAGGCCGAGGCGGGCAGATCACCTGAGATCAGGAGTTCGAGACCAGCCTGGCCAACATGGTGAGATCCTGTCTCTACTAAAAATATAAAAATTAGCCGGGCATAGTGGTGCGCACCTGTAATCCCAGCTACTAGGGAGGCTGAGGTAGGACAATTGCTTAAACCCGGGAGAAGGAGGATGCAGTGAGCAGAGATTGCACCACTGCACTCCAGCGTGGGCAACAGAGTGAAACTCTGTACCTCACAAAAAAAAATACTTGAGGTGCTATGCCTTTTATTGTGTGTGTGTAGTCACTTGTGTATTTTCTAAAATTTTCTTGTGAGTCCAGTAAGTCTTCCTTTGTGGGAATTGTGAGATTGTTTCTCTAGAGTGAGTTTCTGTTGCTTCTGTCAGGTTTCCAGAGTCATTATTTTATTGACTGAGGAAAAATTTTATATTGGTTTAGAAGTTTTCACCCAAAAAATCAGGTGGCATAAATTCAAATCCAAATCTGTATGAGGGTCAGGGCTGTGGTTAAGGTTTTACCAGGGAGAGGTTTTTCCCTGTGAGAGCTTCGGTAGAGAACAAGCTTCCTTGATATTTGCCTACGATGGCGGGTGGTGATTGGTTGGTTGGTTGGTTTTCCCTAATCTTCTCTTTTGCTGTCTGAACAGCTCTATGAGACTCCTAGCTTTATTCATAGCTCTTCTTTCCGATTCCCTTCTCAAAAGTCCTAATGTCTTTTTTCCTTCCCTGGTCTGGGACTTAAAATACAAGGCTTAGCCTTTATCAGCTCTGACTACAACTCGCCAAAACATCGACTACATACTTACTTTTCATTATTTCTAACATTTGAGGATTTCAGCTCCTTGTGAGCCCAGTTCTGCCTTTAAAAACATTTAAAGTTATGACATACTTTAGGCAACACTTTTAGGTATTTGTAGCAAGAGGATTTTCCTATTGGATTAACCCACCATTTTGCTAGAATGAGAGATCTTTAGTAGTTTCCTTTTAAAATCAGTTAACTTACATAAAACTGTGAGCTGATTTAAAGAAAAACTTGTAGTAAATACTAGGAAAGGCATTAATGGTGAGCAGGTTGGGCTCCTTGATAAGCAGATCCTAGGAGTCAGGGTTTTTGTTAAGAAGGGACCTTCAGGGCCGGGAGCCGTGGCTCACGCCTGTAATCCCAGCGCTTTGGGAGGACAAGGCGGGCGAATCACGAGGTCAGGAGATTGAGACCATCCTGGCTAGTACGGTGAAACCGTCTCTCCTAAAAATACAAAAAATTAGCCAGGCGTGGTGCAGGCGCCCGTAGTCCCAGCTACTCAGGAGGCTGAGGCAGGAGAATGGCGTGAACCCTGGAGGCGGAGCTTGTAGTGAGCGGAGATGGCGCCACTGCACTCCAGCCTGGGCGACAGAGCGAGACTCCGTTTCAAACAAAAAAAAATTAAATAAATAAAAAATTCAAAAAAAGTGACCTTCAGAACCACATCTAAAGAAGAAGTTGGACTGGGCAGAGGGAGAAACTGCGATGCGGGCTCACTTGGCTGCAAGAGAAACACCTGGCTGACCCCACAGGTGGAGCTCTGTGGCGCTAAAATGGCCTGTTAGAGTTGTCTCAGGTTAGGGTTAGATGATCCTGCCTTCATACTGCTGTATCAACTGGCCATTGGAAGTGAGCTGCCCCAGGAAGGAGGCATGACCTTGGCTATGCAGCACTCTGTAGCTGAAAACAGTCCCTTCAGAGACTGACTGCCAAAGGCTGTCTAGAGACTGTACTCCAGCAATTGGGCAAATAGTTCCTCGTTGAAGGGGGTCTGAACAGCACTTCACAGTGTCCATTCCAAATATGCCGAAAAATAATCAATAAAATGGAATGCAAATGTTAAATTTAGCCTAGCTGGTCACAGGCCCCAGAAGCAGCAAAAAGGAATGCCAAGACTGACTTAAGACAAGGTTCCAAGATACCTCCCTTCAACCAAGAGCACAGTGGTGATTGGGTATGATCATCAAAATTAATGATGATTAATTCTAAGGGGTGCCAGGAAGGACATGGCCTGTAGTGTCCCAGTGGCCTGCAGGAATAGGCTCCACTGTTCCTACTGCATGATTGGTTATTGATTTGTCTTGCTAACAATTTAATACAAATAATTATTCTTTTAGACTTCATTCTGACTCATATGGAAGAATTAGTTGTTGAAGTTATGGTGTTAAAATACCCTGAGGAAAAGTGAACATGCCATTTCAGAAAAGGTAATGGATGGGAAAGCATCATGTTCAACTATAAAATACTATCCAAATGTACTCTAAAAACGTTAAGCCTTATTATTTTTATGTAGCACTATATTGTAACACAGCATACAGAGAATGCTAAATTTGGAGTTAGATCTAGTTTACATCCTAGCTCTCTACAAAAAGAATTCAACTCAATGTAATTCAGCAAATATTTCTTCATTCCAACTATGCGACAGATACAGTGCCAGGCACAGATCTTGCCTTTAAGCTATGGGGGTATAAATGCTACTTGTTATATGTGAGAAATTCTGGGTAAAGAGACAAGTGGCAAAATTCCAAAAATGGCTAAATAGTTTTCTCTGTTTTTAAAATGTAGAGAAATTTATTTATATTCTGGAACTATAACTTGATGTTAATCTCTTTAATTTTTAGAACAGATTATTATATGTGTTTTGTGAGCATTCCATTAAGAATATTTAATCACTAAGAATTAGAAATAATTTTTCAGAGTAAGTTAAATCCTATTTCTCTTTTGTGAAGGACCGGTAGGTCTGTGGAATAGCATTTATAGAACACCTATATCTCAAGCATATCCTGTGCACAAAATGTTGAAATGGGAACTAAATGAGAATAGAGTTCAATAAGGTTCTGAGCCAGTCTGATAATCATGTGTGACTCATATTCTTGTTTCATTCCACATTTATGAAGTTCAAACTCTCCTCTAGGGAAGGTAGCTTCTCCGTGGCTTCCTCTACTTTCTTAACTCCTAACTAAATAGGTACTGTTCCCAAGCTGTGTCGCATGGACCCACAGTGAGACTTAATATCTCTTTGAGTTGTCCCAAAAGGATATTTACTCTTACAAAACGTTTATGAGGAATACACATTTTATCTAAGATTTCATAGAGCAGAAGAGAAGATGAGTTATCCTAGGAACAAAAACAATTTTTAATGGTCACCTTAGACATTGCTGATTTAAAAATATCAGTTGGAATCCCCCAACTTTGAAGTTTCACTAACTTTTCAGTTTAGCGCAGCCAATCACCATCTTTCTTGCTCCTCACATCTGCTGTTTTCATAGTTCTTCTCCTGTTCTTTTCTTCTCACCCTTTCAAAAACAAAATGTCAACGTTCCTCTCCCTAGTTCTGTAGGGCAATGTCTTTCCATCCTTGAAGACTTGGCATCAGCTGACACCAGGCTTCTGTGTTGCAGGGAGGTGGGAGAGCAGGAGGGGGTGTTTACCAGCCACGAATGCTTGTTAAGACATGACCCCAGGCCCTCGGCACACTGCCGTATAAAGGCAGTGCACACTGTATAAGACATTCTAGTAAATAGAATTTTTCACCCACATCACATGCAGATTTTTATCTTATCTATATTTGGTCAGATATTCCTGACCAAATAATTACAATTACCCACCCACCAATAAGATACCCAATCAACAACAAAATTCTAAAGATTTCTGGTGTATTACTGCGGGCCCTAGGTGCTAAATTTGGCCCATCTTGCTAACTTCTCTAACAAGAACATGGGTAAAAGATCGGAAGTGATATGCTTGTCAAAATTTCAAATGACAGAAAGCTAGGAGAGAATAGCTAATGAATTCGTTAATGCAATCAATAGGTTGGAATAATGGTCCAAAATGAAGTTTAATCCATATAAATGTAAACTGCCTGTTAATGTAAAATGCGCACAGTGAAGTTTAATACACATAAATGTAAAATGTTACACTTAAATTAAAAAATGTAGACAAACACATAAGGATTAGGAGACACCTGGCTGTGTTGGTCAATTTCATGTGTCAGTTTGGCTTGGCTATCATCCTCAGTTATCCAAACAGGAATCTAGTTGTTGCCGTGATGCTGTTTTGTAGCAATGATTAAAACCCATCAAAAGGAGATTATTCTAGATAATCTGGGTTGGCCCGATTCCATCAGTTGCAAAGCCTTAAGAATGGAACTGAGGCTTCTCTGAGGAAGAAAAAAATTCCGCCTGTGGATAGCAGCTTCAGCTCATGCCCAAGAGCTCCAGCCTGTTCTCCCTGAGAGCCTGCTCTTTAGATATGGGACTTGCCCCGCCAGCCCCACAATCGCATAAGCCACTCACTTGCAATAAATTCCTAAGTATAGACATCTCCTACTATTTTTTTTTTTAATCTTTTTCTGGTTGAACCCTGACCACTACACTGACTTAGTACTTTTAGATGAGGACCTCTAACGTTCCTTTTTACTCTTAAGATTCTGAAACTTCACTTTTACTAACTATGCTTCTACTGTGTGCCCCTAAAAGGTCTTTATCCTTTTAGTTCATGCCATCTAATCTCCCCTGTCTGGAAAGCCAGGTGTGTTGGATATCCTCTAATTGCCTTTGCCTTTTTTTTTTTTTTTTTTTTTTTTTTGAGACGGAGTCTCGCTCTGTCGCCCAGGCTGGAGTGCAGTGGCCCGATCTCAGCTCAGCTCACTGCAAGCTCCGCCTCCCGGGTTCACGTCATTCTCCTGTCTCAGCCTCCCGAGTAGCTTGGACTACAGGCGCCTGCAACCACACCCTGCTAATTTTTTGTATTTTTAGCAGAGACGGGGTTTCACCGTGGTAGCCAGGATGGTCTCGATCTCCTGACCTCGTGATCCTCCCGCCTTGGCCTCCCAAAGTGCTGGGATTATAGGAGTGAGCCACGTGCCCGGCCTTTTTTTTTTGAGACGGGGTCTCCCTCTGTCGCCCAGGCTGGAGTGCAGTGGCGCAATCTCAGCTCACTGCAGCCTCCGCCTCCTGGCCTTAAGTGAACTTCCTGCCTCAACCTCCCAAGTAGCTTGGATTACAGGCACATGCCACCACACCCGGTTATTTTTTGTAATTTTGGTAGAGACAAGGTTTCACCATGTTGGCCAGGCTGGTCTCAAACTCCTGAGCTTAGGCAATCCGCCCACCTCAGCTTCCTGAAGCGCTTGGATGACAGGCATAGGCAATGGCCACCGGCCTTCTGATTGCCATTCTAGATCCCACTCCATCCTGCTCTGTGCCTTGGGACTCTAACTCCTAAGGACCACACCACATCAATGGACTCCCTTTCCTTCCTGCTTCTGAAGAGATTTGCTTGAAGAGCATCACTAGCAGGAGGTATGAAGGGTAAGCAGGAAGTGAGGTGGGGCTGTTTCTTCCCTGCCTCCTCAATCCGGGTCTCTGCAGGCTGGCTTTGTCCTTGACTTGAGACCATAGTTCTGTCACAGAGCCTTCTCCACATACCTCTGGTAGCCACTACTGCCCTGTGGCACTTCAGGGCCATGGGGTGGTAATGCCAGTCCTGCTACTGGCCCCAGGGGGAACTTTGTGGTTTCCCTATATCCTGTCTACGCCTTTAGAAATAAATAGTCTCTTTATTAAACTCTTCTCAGATGACTCAATTTAAATGTGCTATTTGTTTCCTGCCAAATCCCTAACTTCAGTTAGCTAAGCATGTCAACATTTCGATGTCATATCTAGAGCCAATTCTTCAAATGGGCAGTGAACCAGTCTTTTGGAGCTAAATGTGAGGAAAAAAATACGCTTAAAATATTAAGATTTAAAAACTTGAAAATCCTTGTCAAAGCTGGACTCTCAGAAAAAAACAGAGACTAACATCAATGAGTTCATCCAGCCCCAAAACTATTCTCTTTCTTCTCCATAACCCATGGTTCATAACCCATGGTTCTCAATTTCTATCTATTGCTCTTATTAGCAGTGATCACTTTTCTGTATTTACTTGTGTCAGAAGAACACATTTTGTGATTATCAACCTTCCTTATTATCATCAGCACAAATTCTGAATCTAAAATAGTGGGTAACAGCCCGGGCAACATAGCAAGCCCTCGTCTCTACTAAAAATTAAAAACATTAGTTGGGCCTGGTGGCACACACCTGTAGTCCCAGCTACTCAGAAGGCTGAGACAGGAGTATCTATTTTTTTTTTTTTTTGACGGAGTCTCGCTGTGTCACCCAGGCTGGAGTACAGTGGCGCGATCTTGGCTCACTGCAAGCTCTGCCTCCCAGGTTCATGCCATCCTCCTGCCTCAGCCTCCCGAGTAGCTGGGACTACAGGTGCCCGCCACCGTGCCTGGCTAATTTTTGTATTTTTAGTAGAGACGGGGTTTCACTGTGGTCTCGATCTCCTGACCTCGTGATCTGCCCTCCCCAGCCTCCCAAAGTGCTGGGATTACAGGCGTGAGCCACCGCGCCTGGCCTGACAGGAGTATCTTTGAGCCCAGGGTGTGGAGGTTGCAGCAAGCCAAGATCATGCAGCTGCACTCCAGCCTGGATAACAGAGTGAGACCCTGTCTCAAAAAAATAAAATAAATTAAAATAAAACAAAGGTAGAAGACTGCAGAATTTAATGCTTTTGTGTGTATAAATATTTATGACTATATCCTAAGACTTCTCAGAAAGTAGCTCTAAAATTTGATTTTATATTGCATGTAGTCATTTTAAATTTACATGTGAAAAGATATTCTACTTACAATGATTCTTATTTCTCTTCAAGATATCTTTATTTTGAATTCCTTTTATTCTTATTTTACGTTGATTCTTCTTTTTCTCCAGGAGATTTTCTCTTTTATTGATTACATTACTAGATGTTCTTTGTTCCAATATGTGTGATAAATATTGTTTGATTTCGTTCACTGATACCTACAAAGAAAAAGACTGTTGCTCATTTTGTTCATGTGTGAGTTTTTTTCAAATGAAACAACAGGAAAGTGAAAATTCATATATTCATGGCAAAAATACAAGCTTAATGCAATTACTCTAATTCTTGCTTTTTTCAAATCAAAATGACAGATGGCTTACTTCACTTTAGAAATCCATATGTTTTATGAATAAAAACCTTTTAAATCTATTATATTGTCATCTGAACTACAGAGCCAAGCATTAAAAGCTAAATGTTATAAATAAAATAGTAGGAGAATTTAACCAATTTACCTTCCACTGGTAAGTTGTCATGGTAATGTCAATCGTGTTAGCTAAAAAAATGAAGGCGTTGATATTGCCTTACACATTACAACAAATTTATAATGGGTGGAAAGTACAGAAAATCTTCTGACTGGCTTTAAAAAAACAATATTTCCCAAAAGTCCTTTTCAGAAGTTATATAATTACAATTAATCTTTTTTAAGTAGGGTAATAGTTTTAGCAGGTTATTTCTGAGTAGTAGAAAATAATGCAGGAATTAAGGTAGAAAAAGCTTTATGGAAGTAAATATTCATGATTTACCTACATAATTTTCTGGGTAAATTATACTGAAACATTAAAATTTTTCCTTTGTCAATTATTATTATTATTATTATTATTATTATTATTATTATTTTTTGAGACGAGTTTCACTCTGTCACCCAGGCTGGAGTGCAGTGACACGATCTTGGCTCACTGCAACCTTCGCCTCCCGGGATCAAGTGATTGTCCTGCCTCAGCCTCCCGAGTAACTGGGACTACAGGTGCATGCCACCGTGCCTAGCTAATTTTTGTATTTTTAATAAAGACAGGTTTCACCATGTTGACCAGGCTGTTCTCGAACTTCTGACCTCAGGTGATCTGCCCGCCTCGGCCTCCCAAAGTGCCGGGATTACAGGCATGAGCCACCACACCCGGCCCTTTTTGTGAATTACTACTTCTAAGAAGAGTCAAGACTTTTTGTTTGCTTTTTTTTCCTTTTCTTCAGTATAGTTTAAACTTTCTTTTCTGGCATGCTTAAATCCTTTGAGGTGGTAGCAAAGACATCAGAGCAATGACCCAGGGGCCAGAGCAAGCAGAAACATGAAGCCATGTAAAGGACTTTTTAAAAACAGCTTTAGGCTAGGCGGGGTGGCTTACATCTGCCAGCATTTTATGAGGTGGAGGCGTCCGGATTGCCTGAGGTCAGGAGTTTGAGACCAGCCTGGCCAACATGGTGAAACCCCGTCTCTACTAAAAATACAAAAAAATTCGCCAGGCCTGGTGGTGTGTGCCTGTAATCCCCGCTACTTGGGAGGTGAGGCAGAAGAATTGCTTGAACCTGCGAGGCGGAGGTTACAGGGAGCTGAGATTGCGCCACTGTACTCCAGCCAGCGTACTCCAGAGTGACTCTCAAAAAATAAAATAAAATAAAAAATAAAAATAAAAACAGCTTTAATGAGATATAATTCACATATTATAAATTATATATTAACCCATTTAAAGTGTACAATTCAATGGTTTTTTAGAATATTCACAGACATGTGCAACCATTACCACAGTCAATTTTAGAACATTTTTATCACCTTAAGAAAAAACCACAAATCCTTTAGCTATCACCTTCCCTGTACTCCCATCCTCCCTACCCCAGCCCTAAGCAACCACTAATCTATGTTTTACCTCTACAGATTTCTCTATTGCGGACATTCATATGAATAGAATCATATAGTATGTGATTTTTGTGTGTGACTGGCTTCTTTCACTTAGATTTGTTTTCAGGGTTAATCCATGTTGTAGCATATATCAGCACTTCAATTCTTTCTATGGCCAAATAAAATAATATGCTCCATGGCTGTCATTCAGGGACCCAAGCAGATATTAAATAGATACTGTGCCAGCTTCAACATGCGGATTCCAAGGTCTCCTGGAGCATCAGTATCTAGCAGACAGAAAGAGAAAGAGCCTGGAAGACTATGTGGAGAAAAGGTTTCTGTTTTGTTTTGCTTTGTGTCATTTGGTTTGCTTTGCTTTCTTGGTTTGCTTTGCTTTCTTTAATAGGCCAGACCTGGAAGGGGCACATAGTGCTTTCAGCTACTTTCTTTTTTTAAATTTTAAATTTTAACTGAAATTTATTAGATGTTTAGTAAGTACATAATAGCTCAGTAAACCTAAGGTTTTTTTTTTTTTTAATTTCCACAGGTTTTGGGAGAACAGGTAGGATTTTGTTACATGAGTAAGTTCTTTCATGGTGATTTGTGAGATTTTGGTGCACCCATCACCCGAGCAGTATACACGGAACCCAATTTGTAGCCTTTTATTCCTCATCCTCTTCCTACCCTTTCCCCCCAATTCCCCAAAGTCCATTGTATCATTCTTATGGCTTTGCATCCTCATAGCTTAGCTCCCACTTATAAGTGAGAACATCCAATGTTTGCTTTTCAATTTCTGAATTACTTCACTTAAAATAATATTATCCAGTCCCATCCAAGTTGCTTTGAATGCCATTAACTCATTCCTTTTTATGACTGAGTAGTATTCCATATATATATATTCCATATATATATATTCCATATATATATATTCCATATATATATATTCCATATATATATATTCCATATATATATATTCCATATATATATATTCCATATATATATTCCATATATATATATTCCATATATATATATTCCATATATATATATGTCACAGTTTCTTTATCTGCTCGTAGATTGATGGGCATTTGGGCTGGTTCTGTATTTTTGCAATTGTGAATTCTGCTGCTATAAGCCTGTGTGCAAGTATCTTTTTTGTATAATGACTTCTTTTCCTCTGAGTAGATACCCAGTAGTGGGGTTGCTGAATCAAATGGTAGTTCTACTTTTAGTTGTTTAAGGAATCTTCACACTGTTTTCCACACTGGTTGTTTTAGTTTACATTCACATAGCAGTGTAGAAGTGTTCCCTTTTCACCACATCCATGCCAACATCTGTTTTTTTTTATTTTTTGATTATGGCCATTCTTGTAGGAGTAAGCTGGTATCACATTGTGGTTTTGGTTTGCATTTCCTGCTTTCAGCCACCTTCTATTAGCCCCACCTAATTGCAAGGTGGCCGAGAAACATAATCTATTTAGGTATCTGGAAGAAGAGAACATGGATTTTGATAAGCATCCTGCACTCTCTAGTATAGTGGAATTATCATATGTTATTGCCATTTAACTTTAACTTTTCAGTTCAACAATAACTAGCATCTAAGTTGAGGAGGCAGTACAAGTTTGGCAAATGCCTGTGACTGTCTGATGTTTCTACTGGCTTCTTTACAGAGGTCAGTGTTTCTTGACTTTGGGTTTCTCTCTCATCCTGAACAACAGCAGAACACAGTCAGCGAGACCAAGTATTAGGGAGCCTTGGAAGACAGAGAGGCTTTCTCTGACTCTCCAAGGCATCCAGAGATTAAATAATTTAATAACAAGCATTTTTGGAGCATTGCTCTCAGTCCCTGCTCTCAGAGCCAGGGATACAGCCAAACCAACCAACCAAACAAACAAAGTCTCTGCCCTCTTGCAGCTGATTTTCTGCCAGGGAAGATAACAGTCAACTGATAAAAGGAGTTGTTTTTAAAAAGGGTAAGGGGAGGGAAGTGATAAAAGTTAGTGTTATTTGATACAGGGTGGAGAAGTTCTATGATTACATTTGAGTAGACCCCTGTGGGAATGGAGGGAGTTAGCCACGCAAATAAACCTCAGGAAGGGAGTTCTGACAGAGGCAATGGCAAACGCAAAGGCGCTGAAACAGGAACACACAGGTGTGCAAGGAAGACAGGGTAACTGGAGCAGAGTGAGTGGGGTGGGGAGAGGGGGAAATAATGAGGCAGAGAGGCAGCGCTGGGGCCAGGTTCAGGATTGGGAGTTGTGTTCTGTGTGAATGGGAGCCCTATGGAGGGTTCTGAGCAGAGGAGTGATATTAACTGAATTAAATTTCAGAAGTATCATTCTGGCTCATGTGTGGAGAATATGATATCGTAGAGATGGAGTGGGGAAAAGAGGCCAACTGAAATAGGCCACTTGAGAATTGATGGTGACAGTGAAGAAAGAAGATGGTAGAGGGGGAAATGGTGATAGTGGTTGTGGTTTGTTTCTGGAGATATTCCGGAAACATTGCTGACAAGATTTTCTGTTGAAGGGCTTATCATGTGAATTTTAGTTTTTAAACAGCAAATGCAATAAAAGCATGTTTGTAAAACTCTCCTGGGCCCATCTATAGACTAGCTATAGCTCTTCATCGGAGAAAGAAGCTGTGTTTTGATAGTCTCTGACATCTTCACTTGCCCTCTGCCTCTTCACTTCCCTGTATCTTGAAGCTCTGAAATAGCCTTTGCCAAAATTATGACAGCGAGAAAATTATGACATTGAAAGAGATCTGACCTAACCAGCTCCATCTTACTTTTAACCTCCAAACTGCCTTTGGTCATTCCTGGGTGTGAGCTAAGCTAACTTTGGGAGAAATGATAATAGCCCTTCCCAAAAACTAAACCACCTTTGTAAAACTAATGAAAGCCCACCAGGTTAGGAGGATGACAGGGGCCCAAATTCTGCTAAGATGTAGGCATAGTTCAATGATAACCAGCCACAATTCTAGAGGTCACAAGATTTACAACTTCCCCAATGACTCCTGTAAATAACGTCACTATTTTAGAACATAAGATTGGCCTTTTGAGATGTCTTTTGAGGCCCACCTGTACCAGTGACTCCTCTGTGGTCCCCATCCAGAATTGGATTCAGTGCATAAAGACTGTTTTCCACACCCAGATGATTACATCCCCAACCAATCAGCAGCACCCATTCCCTACCCTCCTGCGCACCAAACTATCCTTGAAAATCCCTAGCCTTGGAATTTTCAGGGAGGTTGATTTGAGTGATAATAAAACTCCAGTTTCCTGTTTAGCTAGCTCTATGTATATTAAGCCCTTTTTCTATTGCAATTCCCCTGTCTTGATACATCTATCAGGGCAGAAGACAAGATGAACCCATTGGGTGGTTACAGATTCACACTGGATAAGTTTTTCTCAAGCATCCCTTTGAACATATTATTGCCCAACTCAAACCTTCAGTTCTCAGGAAGAGCAGGATAAAATCAAACCACTTTGTACAAAATCTAAGATTCCTCACAGTCTGACCTAAAAATGTCACAGTGAGCTTGTTTCTTACTACTACCACACCTACACAAACGCTGGTGACAGCCAAACTCTTCTACTCCCTGTTCCACAGATAGAATAGATTCTTTCCTATTTCCTTGTTTTTACTTAAATAGTTTTTATTGTCTCTTCTTTCCTGTTATCTCCAATGTTACTCCTGCTTCAAGGCCAAACTAAGGATCTTTTTCCCCAAGACTCCTCAGTATCACTGTGACCCACGGTGATGGCCCTCCCTCTGAACTTGTAGTTTCTTTTCTTCTTGGTTAGCAGTAATAAGACAGCCAAATGCCTAGGCAGGTGAAAAAGGGGTCCTCGGAGAATCTCCAACCCGCCCAAGTGTTTATATCAGATGCTTTTGTGCAGATGAGCGACTGGAGCCCGACATGCGCACTGGGGGAAGTGGGTGGAGCCAGGAGGAATTCGTGCCTTACAAAGTCTAGGAGCCTGCTCTCTTCAGCTGGTGTGGTGACCCAGGAAACAATCTAGGAGGTGGTGGGGGCTGGCTAGCAGGAACTCCATCTCGCTTTGCTGAGTTTATTTTTTCCTTTTGGCCCAATAAAACCCTGCTCTACTCACCCTTCAATGTGTCCATGTGCCTAAATTTTCCTGGTCGTGTGACAAGAACCTGGGTTTTAGCTGAACTAAGGAGCAAAATTCTGCAACAGTAGCTCACTGTTCTGCATTCTCTAAAGCTGACCTCCTAGTACATCACATATTACATGTTTTATCTACTCAATTATTTATAGACACTTTGTAAACCTTTGGGTATATTTCTCATGTAAAATAGGCTGCCTTGAATCAAGGGAAGTTTAATGAATATGTGAGTTTCTTTATTTTGGGGAAACCTCTTGTTTCCTTAAAGGAAGGAACGTGTTTCACAGGAGAAACTAAAAAGGACAGAAGTCTTTGAGGAAAGAAAGTTTGAATTTATCTTGCTACACATTTGATTGTAATTTATTTGTGGCTAATGTCTGCTTTTTATTCCTAGAGACACTTCCAAAGTAGGACCCAGTCCTATGGTACTATGCTTGAAGGCAAAAACAAACAAACCCACAAACAAAAACAGTGCTGGGAGGCAGAAAACCGTTTTTTCTTTTTTCTTTTCTTTTTTTTTTTTTTTGAGAGGGAGTTTTGCTCTGTTGCCCAGGCTGGAGAGCAGTGGTGCGATTTCAGCTCACTGCAACCTCCACCTCCTGGGTTCAAGCGATTCTCTTGCCTCAGCTTCCTGAGTAGCTGGGATTACAGGTGCGCACCACCACACCTGGCTAATTTTTGTATTTTTAGTAGAGATGGGGTTTCACCATGTTGGTCAGGCTCATCTCGAACCCCTGACCTTGTGATCTGCCCACCTCGGCCTCCCAAAGTGCTGGGATTACAGGCGTAAGCCACTGCGCCTGGTCCAGAAAACCTTTTTAATAGCTTCTAGTTTAAGAGTCTGTCAGTCTTCTAAGGCTAGACTTTGACTTAAGAGTTTTTACATTGTTTTGTTTGGATGAAAATTAGTTTTATTCTCAAAACAACACACAATTTAACTTTTTAAACACAAGAAACTTTGAGTACATGTTAACATATAAACATATCTTATTCACAATCATCCATTCCAATTGCCAAACCCCAAAATAAATGTTATAGATTATAACAATTTGATTGACATTCCTCACATCGTATTTTCTGTTTACCATTTATTAGCTGTGTCTAACTGTGAGCAAATTAACCTCTCTGTGACTTACTTTACCCCTCTATAAAATAGGGGTAATAAATTGCCTATCTCATTGGGATGTTTTGAGGATCAAACGAGTTAATACATGTGAAGAGCTTTGGACACTGCAAGCAGTCAATAAATATTAACTGTTATTACTATATTAACTATATATGTTTTCTGTTTAAATACATTTTTCTGTTTTTCTGTTTCAGATTCTAACATACTAGAATCTGGGACCTCTGGCTATTTAATTTGCTCTGTCAGTAAATGCAGGTGTTCTGAGTCTTGGAAATCAGTAAACATCATTTGTTTTATTGAAATATAGTGGGTTTTTTCTTTTTGGTTTGTTTGCTTGTTTTGTTTTTTTTTTTTTTTTTTTCTGAGATGGAGTCTCGCCCTGTCACCTGGGCTGGAGTGCAATGGCGCAATCTCAGCTCACTGCAACCTCCACCTCCTGGGTTCAAGTGATTCTCCTGCCTCAGCCTCCTGAGTATCTGGGATTACAGGTGTGTGCTACCATGCCCGGCTAATTTTTTGTATCTTTAGTAGAGATGGGGTTTCACCATGTTGGCTGGGCTGGTCTTGAACCCCTGACTTTGTGATCCACTCACCTTGGCCTCCCAAAACGCTGGGATTACAGGCGTGAGCCACCACGCCTGGCCAAAATATAGTGTTTTTTAATCTCTTAAGCAGAATATCTTAAAAATGTTTTACTAGTAGAAAATACTTATATGTCATACATTTTCTGAACTAATTTCTTTCAAAGACACTGAACAGCAATTTTAGCATATCCTAGGCCCCTGTGGCTGCCTAGGCTGTATTTGATGCTAAATATTTCAGCCTCCAAATCCCATACTTATTCTTTAATAGAATTTCAATAGCAGCAACATGACTGATGCTAATGGGACTATTTTAATAGCCTCCACAAATAGTTTTTTGAGCGGCAACAGGTCTAAAATAGTCATGGAATGAAACACCCTTATTCTTTTTTTTTTTTTTTTTTGAGACAGAGTTTTGTTCTTGTTGCCCAGGCTGGAGAGCAATGGCATGGTCTCAGCTCACTGTAACCTCCACCTCCCAAGTTCAAGCAATTCTCATGCCTCAGCCTCCCAAGTAGCTGGGATTACAGGCACACACCACCATGCCCAGCTAATTTTTGTGTTTTTAGTAGAGATGGGGTTTCGCCATGTTGGCCAGGCTGGTCCCAAACTCCTGGCCTCAGGTGATCCACCTGCCTCGGCCTCCCAAAGTGCTGGGAATACAGGCGTAAGCCACCGCGCCTGGCCAAAACCCCTATTCTTTAAAAGTCATACAAAAAGCACTGATTCACTCATTCAATACATTTATGCTAGGCATTCACTAGGAATTGAAGATATAGTGACACATAAGACAGAAGCATTTTCTGATCATATGGAGCTTCCATTTGTCTGTAAGAAATACAGCAACCAGTAAACAAATAAATGAACAAGTTAGTATCAGATATCCATACATGCTATGAAGAGAATAAAGCAAGAAAATGTAAAAAGTCAAATATGGGGTGAAGAGGGGTTGGTGCATAATTTTGATTGGGTGTCCAAGAAAAGCCTTACAGAAGAGGTGACTTTGGAGCCAATAATTTAATGACAAAAAAGCAGTTCTGCAAAGTTATGAAGGCAGAGCATTCCGGGCAGAAAGGACAGTAAGTACGAATGCCCTAAAGTGGGAACAAACTTGTATGTTCCAGGAATGGAAATAACTCCCAAGTGGCTGAAGGAGTGTGAGCCAAGGAAAAAATTATCAAAGAGAAAGACACAGAGAGAAGTAGGGGGGTGATATCATACAGGGACATGGTAAGGAGGTGGCATTTTACTGAAGGACAAGAGGAAGATATTGCGATCCTAGGAGACAAGCTCTGATTGATGTTTTAGAACAAAAGACTATTCTGGCTGACATGTGAGGAACAGATTATACAGCATCATGAGTGGGAGCAGGGGCTGGGCGTGGTGGCTCATGCCTGTAATCCCAGCACTTTGGGAGGCCAAAATGGGCGAATCACCTGAGGTTAGGAGTTCAAGACCAGCCTGGCCAACATAGCAAAACCCTGGTGGCAGGCACCTGTAATCCCAGCTACTTGGGAGGCTGAGGCAGGAGAATTGCTTGAACCCGGGAGGCGGAGGTTGCACTGAGCCAAGATCTCACCACTGCACTCCAGCCTGGGTGACAGAGCGAGACTCCATCTCAAAAAGAAAAAGAGTGGGAGCAGGAAGAACAGTTTGGAAACTATTGCAGTCAACTAGGCGAAGGATGATGTGACTCAGCTGAGTGCAGAAGCAATGGAGATAAATTATATGGGCAGACTTAGGGTATGTTTTAGAAGTTTAACAGTACTGACTCCGTGTTAGAGAAAAGCTAGCTTGCTTGCTTGAATATAATTATTGTTTTGCTTGAGTGTGGAGATTATTCACTAAAACAGCCTTGAGAAAACAGGACCTTCAACAGAAATAAAAGACACGACCAACAACTCTGGGAATGAGCTGACCGGCCTCGTAAGAACAGGTTGATGGCCCCTGCAGAAGGTCACCGGCATTGACCTAGAAAGCAATGAGTAACTGCCTGCCTGAGACTGTGCACATTTCACAAGAATGTTTTGATATCACTTCCCCTCATTACTCTTAAAAATCCCTGATCTAGAGGGACAATTTGTAACGGTGGTCTTTGAATGCTAATTCACTGCCTTCCCCGGGTTTCTGGCTTCTTGAATAAAGCTAACTTTCCTTTCATCAAAGCTCTTTTCCTGAGTTTTTGTCTTTCAAGTGATGAGTGGCACAGTTACAGAAGTGGTGCAAATAAAAATGGAGATGGACTGAATACAGGGGTAAGAGAAAGGACAAAGTCAAAGATAACTTCTTGTTTTGGAGCGAGACCAGCTGAGTGATAGGAGATTCCATTTACAGATAGGAGATTACATTTACAGGGATGAAGAAGACTGGGGACAGATGAGATTTTTGGAGGGAATCAAAGTCTTCCCCCAACCCCCTAACAAGCAGACCTGTATATGTGGTAATACCTTCAAATTGGGTGCCTATATATGAAACATTAAATGTATTTGTCTAAGAGTAAAGAGCGAGTCATATTTGATATGGAATGGGAAGTGAGCATCATCCCTCACAAATGATAGATAGGTGGGAAGTAAAAGAACTGGAAGGTGAGAATTCTTTGCCTGCCAGTCACTTACTTTTCCTAGGGCTCAACAATCAAAGACATTTCTTGTTTTCCTTAACAATCTATGTCCCTTTTTTCTTTCCTGGTTCATATCCCCCAAAATAGTCACTGTTCCTTGGCACTGTGTAATACATTAAATTCTGCTGATAAAGCTCTTGGGAAAAAGAGGAAATGAAAAGTAAGAGCTTATAGAAGGCATCAGTGAGGACAATAAAAGTAGCAAACCAAGACTAGCTGGTCACCTTCTCACCAGTGGTCTTTGTTTAGGTAAATGAATGAGATGCTATCGAGATATAATGTGGCAGAGAACACAGGCTGCTGCCATTGGTTTCACAAAAGGGAGAAATGAATTTCTACTTTTCCCACTATGTATAGATGCAGATTCCATATACTATGTTTAAACCACTATATTTCTAAAGAGTATGAACACTAGTGCCCCAGACACTAGTGAAGAAAGTCAAGAGCAAGTGAAAAACAAAGAAAATGAGTTTTTCTATAAGAAAACTAGGTTTTCCTAGGTCATTGGTTCTTAAAGTATGGTCCCTGAAATCTGTTAGACGTGCAAATTATCTGCTCCACCTGAGGTCTACAGAACCAGAAACTCTGGGAGTGAAGTCCAGCAATCTGTGATTTAACAAGTCCTCCAGGTGATTATGATGCATCCTTAAGTTTAAGAACCCCTGCCCTAGGTAATAGTGGAAGAAGGTTATTAGTACATGAGAGTGAAATTGAAGTCCAACATTAAATAATACAAAAATTTAACATCAGTCATAATACAGTGAAGATATGTGTACATATAGCAAAGACTCACATAGAAGCAGATGTTTTAATTATGGTTTCTCATCAGAAATTGAAAATATGTCAGATTATTAGCTTTCTAGGTCTTAAATAAATGCATGTATGTTTGAAAAAAATGGGGGCTGGCAATTTTAAACTTTAAAATTAACTGTTTTAGTAGTTTTTCCTCCCTTAAAATAAGAGTTTATGAGATGTTTACATTGAAGCAAAGCTGTTTTTGTTAATGGACTTGATGTCTTTTATTTTTTTCCTAGGCTTTTCAATTAAGAATATAAAACAATCTCAGGATACATTTTCCTAACACATCTAAGATTTTTTAAAACAAAGCAAATATGTTAGATGTAATAACCACCCCTAAGTGAAAAGAATAATTATCCCTTGTAGAGAAGAAGTAACTCATTCAGTTACTTCAGCAAATTATCAGTAAAAATATTTCTTCCTCTTGGCAAAGCCATTGCTTATTATTTTATTGTGTATTTGCATATCCACCTTCTAATATCACCAAATAAGAATAGTAGACAGCTTCCTAAGGGTAAATTGTGAAATACAGGGAAATGGTAAAGCAGCAAATAAAAAGGAAAAAAGTGGCATGAGTGATATTAATAATACAGTGCTAACATAAGATTTATATTAACTGCTAATGCTTTCTGAAATTCAGAGAACATTAACAACTGATACTTACTGGAGTCTGTATTTATATTCTGTATTTACATGCAAGGAGCAGAAAATTATAGTTAAACATATAGCCATGTCAACTTTTCATGGTACAGGGAATACATGGATTATCAAAAGAGCTCTGGGTTTTTTTTTTTTTTTCATTACTTTCAGCACTTCTTTTCTCTTAATTTTACTAGAGCTACTGATAGTTTCTGTTCATTCCTTGATACAAGGATTGCTAAATGACATTCATTCATTCACAAATATTTAGCAAGCACTTATTAAATTGTAGTGACTAATCAAGAGATATTTGTATCTCTGAGAACTATACAAAAAAGTAAAGAGTTCAGTTTCCTTTGGGGGAGTCAAATGGGGAGTTAAGTAATGAGCAAGTTTGTAGACACATGATTACATGCAACAAGAAAGCAGATGAAGACCCAGTAGTCTGGGAGAGGAGTTAGAAAATGAGGGATGTGCTATTTTAGATTGGTGATTTAAAAAATTCACCAATTTTTATGGACTTAGAATGGGGGTGTGCATGCTGATTGGTCCGTGGGTGGGCTTGCAAAAAGCACCACTCAGTTGGTTAAAAGGCATCATCCTGAAGGAACCAATTAAGAGAGAGAGAGAGTAAGATGGGGGTAGAACTTCTCATTCCAGGTGTGGACTCCATCCAGAAATGGCAGCTCGGTTTTCAGGCTTTAAACTCTCTTTGGCTTGAAGGTTGGGTCTCACCAGGGACCTGTCCCTGTCTGCCTAGGAATTTGTCTGTCTTCTATTACTATCAGTACAAAGGCCCTGAGGTAGACAGACTTGGGTACTCCAGAGATAGCATGGAGGCCAACGTGACTGGAATAGGGTGAGTAATGGGGAGTATGGTCAGAGCTCAGAGAAACAGCAAATGCCAATCATGTAAAGCCCCATGGGACTTGATGAAGAGTTTAGATTTTGTCTTAAGTGTAATGCAATACATACCGTGAGGTGAATAGGCTGCAATAGAGCAAAAATGCAGGAGATCAGAGAGTTGGCTACCACAGAGTCCAGATGGGTGAGCTGGTGGAGTAGTTAAAAGGGATTGGATTCCGGATATTTGAAAGACCAAGATAACTGGGATATTGTGTATGAGAGAAAGAAGCAGAGGGTGAGCTTAAGATTTTTGTTCTAAGCATCTGGTGGATGAAGGAGCCATTTACTGGCCTAGGAGATGTCAGGAAAGGAACAGGTTTGGAGTTCAGAAAAATCAAGAGTTCAGTAGTCAACATGTCAAGTCTCAGATCCATTTTACACATCCCAGTAAACATGTGCCTGAAGTAGTTTGTGTCTGGGGTTGAGGCAGTGCAGGTTACAGCTGCTGGTAGGTTGATAGAGTTGATGATGGGTGGATATAGAATTGCTCTTCAAACTGTTTCCTTTTTTCAGTGTGAAAAATACAAAGCGTTTTGCTAAATGCATGATGATGGTGATTTCTGAAATTGGAGAACAAACAAAACCCAGGAAGGTCATCAGCTGAGATGTGTTGGAATTTTGGTAAGAAGGGAGAAGATATGAAACAGTGATCTTAGAGATGTGGAATAATAAATTTGACTAGGGAGATGTTCAGGTTTGCTGGGAAACACTGAAGGCCTCCTTAGTCTGTGGTCATGAAATTAAAATGAGACTGGTTGCCTGATTCTCTTTTCCCAGCCATGTTCAGCCACCCAGAAGGAGGAATTGAGTAGATGGAGAACTACATTTCATCAGGGTTAAGGTTTTACCAATAAATGAAATGGAGTGCAAGGGGAATAACTAAATGGAAGATCTATATGAGGAAGTGATTTCACAGCACCCTGCAATGTTAGCTGCAATTCCCAAATCCAAAAAAGATCTGAACACTGAAAGCTTTTTCATTAGTTTGGTGCTCAAAATCAGTTGGTGTGAAAACTTGACCTGACCTTATGTTAGGTTAATTCTATTCTTTATCCCATTTAGTGTGATATTCTTACGTTTTTCTGCATAACTATTAATGAAAACAATGTATTTCCTGAATCCCTACTTGGGGTATTCTATAATATGTGAGGGGTGTGTGTATGTTTCTCTCTCCCTTTCTCTCTCTCTTTTACATTTGACATTATTTTACATTATTACACACTATGTACATTTTAATATATACATATATATATATATATTTACATTTCTAAAAGTTTTTTAAGACTTTGAATTCTGCCTCACACTCTTCCAAAAAATTGCAGAGGAGGGAACACTTTCAAACTTATTCTATGAGGTCAGCATTACCCCAATACCAAAGCTAGACAAGGACACTACCAGGAAAGAAAACTATAGACCAATATCTCTGATAAATACTGATGGAAAAATCTTCAAAATATTAGCAAACTGAATTCAGCAGCATATTAAAAAATTATTTACCATGACCAAGTGGGATTTTTTTCTGATATGCAAGGATGGTTCAACACATGGAAATTATGTAATATGTCACATTAACAAAATGAAAGAGGAGAAAAGCACATGATTATCTAAATTGATGTAGAAAAAGAATTTGACAAAATTTGACATGCTTTTGTGATAAAAAGCATTCAACAAACAAAGAATAGAAGGAAATTACCTCAACATAATAAATAAAGACCATATATGAAGGGTTACATACTCCATGGTTAATATCATACTCAATGGTTAAAGTTAATATCATACTCAACAGTTAAAGACCAAAAGCTTTTCCTCTGAGATAGGAACAAAGCAAGGATACCCACTGTTAACTGCTTTCATTCAACATAGTACTGAAAGTCCTAGCCACAGCAATTAGGAAATAAATTTATCTAGGGAAAAGTTATAAAAAAAAAGTTATCCAAATTGGAAAAGAAGAAGTAAAATTATCTGTTCACAGAAGATATAATCTCATATGTAGAAATCCCTAGAGATTCTACACAAAAAAACTGCTACATATAAACAAAGTTTAAACAAAAGTTGCAGAATACAAAATCAATACAAAATAGTTGTATTTCTATATACTACAAATGAAGAAGCCAATAAGGAAATTGAGGAAACAATTCCATTTAAAATAGCATAAAAAAGAATAAAGTACTTATAAAGAAACTTAGTCAAGAAGACAAAAGACTTGTATTAAAAAAACTATAAAACTTGCTGAAATAAATTAAAGAAGACACTAACAAATGGAAATGATGATGGTGGTGGCCCACCTGGAGCAGCCACTGCAGAAATGCCAGCTGCAGCAGGGGAAGCACGCTTAGGGCTGTGTGCTCCGCAGAGCCAGTGGAAGCTGGGAACAGGAGGGAGCCATGACCCATTCCGAGTTGGCCAGGTGGGAGCCCCACCTTCCTGGGCACAGCTGTAGCCGCCCAGCTGCGGCTGCAGACCCAGGCATCCCTGTGCTCTTGGGGCGAGAAACCCTCCCATCCCGCAGGCTTGGAAGTGCCTGCTCCCACTGCCTGGCCTCTCCCAGCACCTGGTACTGTGATTTTGGAGCAAAACTGAGGTGGAGCCTGGGCACTGTTGCAACCCAGCTGGTGTGTGTGCACTTAGGGTGGTGCTGACATGCCAGCTCCCTGCTGCCTCAGCCCCTCTGGACTTTGGGCACTGACGAGCATGGGAGGGAGGCCGAGGGGGTACTGAGGATGGCTCAATGCAGGCCTGCAGGTGCCACTCCACATGAACAGCCTGGGGACCATGGATGACATGTAGATGGCAGCAGGAGGCAGACAGGCTCCTGGGTGGAAAGGGGCAGGTCCCCACTGAAACCCCACCTTCAAGCCAGGAAGGACCTGAAGCCTGGGGGCCAGGATCCATTCCGGGTGGAGTCTGTAGCTGGGAGTGAGAACTTATGGTGCTTTTTTTAGGCCGACCCATGGCCACCCATGGACCAATCAGCATGCACTTCCCCTCTTCTGAGCCCATAAAAACCCCCGGACTCAGCTAGACTCCGGCAGACATCAAGAAGACCTGCCTGCAGGTAGGAGCTACCCATTCCATATCTCCTCTCCACTGAGGGCTACAGAGATGATGGGATGACCTGCCTGCAGATGGGAGCTACCCACTCTGAATCTCATCTCCAGTAAGAGCTGTGTTCATCAGGACCACCTGCCTGCGGAAAGGAGCTACCCACTTTGGGTCTCCTGAAAGCTGTACTGTCGCTCAATGAAGCACCTCTTCACCTTGCTCACCCTCCAATTGTCTGCGTATCTCATTCTTCCTGGATGCAGGACAAGAACTTGGGACCCGCTGAATGGTGGAATTGAAAGAGCTGTAACACAAAAAGGGCTAAAACATGCCCCCCACACTGCAGGCAATGAGAAGAAGAGAAGAGCTGTAGCCCTTTTAGGAGCCCAGACCTAGGGACTCCCTGAGCCAGGGCTGTGACACCCTCTTTGGGGCACTGTGGTTTCTGGCATTTCCAAGCTTCTGGGCACCACTGTATTCCCTTCATCCAGACGCAGGTGCCCACAACAAAAGCCACTTTGCAGTGCATCTGATCCAGCCACAGGTTTGCATGAAGCTGTTGCCTATGCCAGTGCCTGTAGCTGCCCACTCTGCCACAGCAGCTGGTGTGCCTGGCTGTGCACAGTGACTGGACCCCGTGCTCACTCATGCACCCTTCACCACTCCATGCTTGGCTCGCCCTTGGCAGTTGTGGGGTCCAGGCTGGTAGCATGAGCCAAGTGCAGCCTGCCAGGCCAAGTGGCCAGAATGAGCACAGCAGGTCTGAGCAAAACTTGGGCAAAGGTGCCACCAGCCACAGAGGCTTCCAGCTGGAAAAGTGACACTCCAAGGATCCTGTGACAGAAACACACCTTGTGTTCATAGATTGGAAGTCTTAATATTTCTAAGATGTCAATACTATCCAATGCGATCTATAGATTTAATGCAATCCCTATAAAAATCCCAATGGCTTTTTTTTTTCAGAAATAGAGATATTTTTTCTAAAATTCAAATGAAATCTCAAGGGACTCTGAATATCCAAAACAATCTTGAAAAAGAAGACTAAAGTTGGAGGTCTCAAATTTCTCAATATCAACACCTATTACAAAATTACAATAGTCAAAAGAGTGCGGCACAAAGATAGACATATAGACCAATGGAATAGAATAGAAAGCCCAGAAATAAAGCTTCTCATATATGATCAAATGATATTAAAGAGTGCCAAGACCATTCAGTGGAGAAAGACAGTCTTTTCAACAAAATGTGCTGGGAAAACTGGATAGCCATGTGCAAAAGGATGAAATTGGACCTTACCTTATTTCATATACAAAAGTTAACTCAAAATGTATCAAAGACCTAAATACAAGACACAAAACTATAAAATACTTAGAAGAAAACATAGGAGAAAATTTTCATGACATTGGATTTGGTAATGATTTCTTGGCTATTGTTACTGAAACATCAGGGATTTGGTCTAGGCCCTACTGCATGCCACACAGAAAGCCACTGCACAGAAAACCAGTGATTGAGACAACTAGTATTGCCAAGGAAGAAGGCTTTAATGAGGATCAGTCTCAAATCCGTCTCCCTGACCAACTGAAACCGAGGGTTTATATAGCAGAGAAGAAATGAACAGAACTCAGATAAAACAAATATAAGTTTCAAGCTTTAAGACCAGAAGGGTCAATTTCTATGTTTATCCAAAAAACTATCTATGGAACTATTGGGTCAGTTTTCGTATAACACCAAAAGCCCAGGCAACAAAAATAAAAATTGATAAATTAGATTACATCAAAATTTAAAACTCCTGTGTATGAAACGATACTATCCACAGAGTGAAAAGACAACCCACAGACTGGGAGAAAATATTTGCAAATTAGATAAGAAGTTAATATCCAGAATATATTTTAAAACTTCTACAACTCACCAAATAATAAACTCAATTAAAAAATGAGCAAATGAATTGAATAGACATTTTTCCAAAGAGGATATGCAAATGGACATCAAGCCCATGGAAATCTGCTCTGCATCACCAATCATTAGGAAAACAAAAATGAAAACCTCAATGAGCCACCACCTTACACCCTATTCAAATGGCTACTATAAAAACAAAACAACAGGCCGGGCGCGGTGGCTCACGCCTGTAATCCCAGCACCTTGGGAGGCGGAGGCAGGCGGATCACGAGGTCAGGAGATCAAGACCGTCCTGGCTAACACTGTGAAACCCCATCTCTACTAAAAATACAAAAAATTAGCCAGGCGTGGTGGCAGGTGCCTGTAGTCCCAGCTATCGGGAGGCTGAGGCAGGAGAATGGCATGAACCCAGGAGGCCGAGCTTGCAGTAAGCCAAGCTCGTGCCACTGCACTCCAGCCTGGGCAACAGAGTGAGACTCTGTCTCAAAACAAAAAACAAAAAACAAACAACAAAAAAAACCAAACAAACAAAAAAGAACAAGTGCTGGAGACATTAGAACACTTGTGGACTATTGGTGGGCATGTAAAATGGTGCAGCCACTGTGGAAAACAAATGATGATCAGACAACAAATTAAAAATGGAATTACTTTATAATCCAGTATTGCCACTTTTGAGTATGTGCCCAAAAGAATTGAAACAGGGTACTGAAGAGGTATTTGTATGCCCATGTTAATAGCAGCATTATTTGCAATAGCCAAAATGTGTAAGCAATCAGCATTCATTAATGAATGAATGAATGAACTATGATTACATATTTCAGCTTTAAAAAGGAAGGAAATTCTGACACATGTATAGATTTTGAGGAGATTATGCCAAGTGAAATAAGTCAACTATTAAAAGAAAAACACTGTATGAACACTTAGATGAGGTACCTAAAGTAGTCAAATTCAGGGAGACAGAAAGTAGAATGTTGATTGCCAGGGGCTGGGGTGAGAGGGGAATGGAGAGGTTTTTGTTTTTTTTTAATGGATATAGAGTTTCGGTTTTACAAGATGGAGAGTCCTGGAGATTAGTAGCACAACAGTGTGAATGT
Organism: Homo sapiens; assembly: GCF_000001405.40. Lineage (NCBI taxonomy): Eukaryota > Metazoa > Chordata > Mammalia > Primates > Hominidae > Homo > Homo sapiens. The sequence goes on from NW_025791811.1 coordinate 158,823, forward strand.
AATTAGCACTACTGAGCTGTACATTTAAAAATTGTTAAAATGCTAAATTTTATGTTATGTATATTTGACCACAATTTTTTAAAGCCTAATTTCTGAAACAGCTTTGTTCCCACAGGCTTTGGAAAAGATCCTGTGGTCCTGGGGTGATGAGGTATCAACTTTCAGCCAAGTAATAAGGGAAATGAGCATGTGAGGGGAACAATGAGCAGTAAAAAGGGCAAATCGATTTGAGGTCCTGGTGGGATTGAAGCATTTATGGAACAACCTGGAAAGATATCAGTGGCCATCAGAGACTTGGATACCTGAAATTTTCATCTGGAACAGGCACAGTTTAGATTATGACCATGGGAGTGTTAAGGAGGATGGGACTATTGGAAGCAAGAAGATGTAAGTAATGAAACTGAGCTGCTACGATTCATGAATACTGAAATCTCCAATGTAGACAGGAGCTCTCTGCTCCTGGGAGAGAAAGACCACGAGCTACGTTTCTATCTTCATCTCTTACTACTTTCCCAATGAGAATGTGGCAATAGGGAGGGAGAAGGATACCTACCACCCTATCCTGAACCAATATAAGTGGACTGTGTTAGAAAATGCTTGAAAGGGTTACAGGGGAAGAAGTCATCAGGAGACAACTAGGTTTCAGTTAAGATGAAGGGAAAGGAAACATTTGGAGAAGTACGACCCTGAAGTTAGGTGATTAGAAAGAAAATACTGATTAGAGGCCGGGCGCGGTGGCTCACACCTGTAATCTCAGCACTTTGGGAGGCCGAGGCGTGCGGATCACAAGGTCAGGAGATCGAGACCATCCTGGCTAACACGGTGAAACCCCATCTCTACTAAAAATACAAAAAAATTAGCCGGGTGTGGTGGCGGGCGCCTATAGTCCCAGCTACTCGGGAGGCTGAGGCAGGAGAATGGCGTGAATCTGGGAGGCGGAGCTTGCAGTGAGCCGAGATAGCGCCACTGCACTCCAGCCTGGGCGACAGAGCGAGACTCCGTCTCAAAAAAAAAAAAAAAAAAAAAAAGAAAGAAAGAAATAAAGAAAATACTGATTAGAAAGAAAATACAGTGTATTTGCTCACTCCTGTAATCCCAGCACTTTGGGAGGCCAAGGCAGATGGATCACGAGGTCAGGAGATCGAAACACAGTGAAACCCCGTCTCTACTAAAAATACAAAAAATTAGCTGGGCATGGTGTCACGCACCTACAGTCCCAGCCTGGGGAGGCTGAGGCAGGAGAATCTCTTGAATCCGGGAGGTGGAGGTTGCAGTGAGCCGAGATCATGCCACTGCACTCCAGCCTGGGTGACTAGAGTGAGACTCTGTCTCAAAAAAAAAAAGAAAAAAAGAAAGAAAATAAACATCTCAGGGATGGAGAATCCATACATTTTATAGCCAAGTCTTGAATATATGGTAGTAGGTGTATTTAATTACACCTGTAAACCTTTACTATATCTACCACATGCAAAGCATCACACTAAAAAAGATGACAACATACTGTCTTCCCTGTCAGAAGCTCACAATCAAGTTTAAGTAATATCAAACAGAGGTTTCACAAAGCAAAAAAACCACATTTAGAACCTTTTGGAAATTCCAAATTCCAGTAACTGTGTAGGGTACATTGTAAGCATTGTGTTGCATGAATGAATATATTGATAATTTGTAATACTAAGTTCTCTTAAATCAGAATGGGCTTTTTTATTCTAATATGCAAAATGGAGGATAATAATTAACCATTTAAATAACCAATTAACATCCTTCACAAAGATGTTAGGAGGAATAAATGGTATATATGAAGGGTTTTTATAAAGTTTGTTATATAACTGTAAGGATATGATATTGAATATAAATTCTGAATATAATAACATAAGGTGTCTAAATTTTATACTAAATGCCCAATATGACAATGTAAGTGAAATCTTGAGGCTATCTTTACTACCAGGTTCCTTTCTCAGGAAACAGCCCCTCAGGCTGCTCAGATAGTATCAAAGAATTAAAACTTACCAGAACTGAAATATCCTATTTATTAGTCAAATTAATTATCTATTGGACAAAGATGTTAATCTCAAAACAAAAAGATTGTGTCTGTTAAACTGAAGAAGAGATGGAACTGAACACTCTGGTGAAACTGCTGAGTGCTGAGAGCCAGGTGACTTTTTCCTTGTTTTCAGAGCTTTCACTGATGCTCATGGTGGTGATGGCTGTCAGGAGACAAACTCATAAAGGGGTCCCCAGAGAAACTCCAACCAACCTGCACACTGGGAGAATGGGGTGGAGCCTCGGGAAGTTCATGCTGGTTTGCAGCGGGGAGGAGCCTGGCCTCTCCTGTTCGGGGATTAGTAACCTGGGATTCAATCTGTGAGCCCACTGGCAGGAAGCACACTCTCTCACTTTGCTGAGAGTCCCTGTTTCCCCCTTTTTTTTTCTCTTTTCACCCAATAAACCCTACCCTTCTCACCCTTCAAAGTGTCTGTGAGCCTAATTTTTCATGGTCATTACAAGGAGCCCATTTTTAGTTGAATTAAGCAGAAAGTCCTATAACAGCTTTGGTGCCCAACATGGGGTTCAAGGAAGGGTGAGTGAAATGGCAACTCAAAACCTCTCGCTGTTGCTTCCGAGCCTTCTGGTCCTATGGCATTCCTCTTCTTATTTTCAGGACAGTAATAGCACCTATCTTTTCTTTTACAATACTGGATATAGGCCACACCCATCCCAATGGCCACAGGCACACTGGGAGGATGGTTAGATGGGGCAGCTCCCTGCTCGCCCTTTTCTACTAGCTGAGGTGCACGGACGTATCTGCTGCATGTGTGTGTGGTGTCCAGTGGCCAAGGGGCCCCATGCAGCTGGCTGGCCTTCCCTACCATGCACCCATGTAGTCTCCACTCCCCAACCAGGAAGTCCAACTTTGTCCCACTGCGATGCTTCTCTCTGGTGGAGGAACTATTTGCATAAAAATAAGAAGCTCTTCCCCACTGGCATCCTTTTTCTTCTCTACCCTATCAGCAGTTAACTTTTAATTACTTTTTTTTTTCCTTTTGGAAAACATTTTACTGTTTTCCCAACTATCACTGTTTATATTTTCTGTAGAGTTTTAATTGTGACAGAGGATTTGTGAGGCTAGTTTTAAGCTGTAGCCCATCTGGTGTACTTTGCATGTCTTTCCACAGCAAACTTTGCAGCAGGCCTCCATCTTGTTTTATATCCTGGGGGTATGGCCTGTAACCCCACGGCAAAGCTTTGTTTAGCAATCCTGCCTTAGGGAATGAGTCCTTTCTGGTTTGACATCTGCATGTTTTCCTAGCCCTGTCTCTTACAGGGCTCCACCTGGTGGCTGAGTTTTCTTCTGCCTGTCTTTGTAGCTCTGTATGTGTTGTGTATGTGATGTCTGTAAAAAGACCTCTAGTTAATTTGGCCTAAAGGAAGACAAGCACTTGGATCAAATATTTTTTAAAGAGAAGATAAAAGCTGTGGTAACTTTCAGTTCATGTGACTTTAATCTTTGAGAAATAAAAACAGCCTTAAAGATTATTGGTAAAAAGCAAATGTCATCAAAATATAAATATTTTGGACTAAATGATGCAGGTCACAGGCAAGGCTTGTTAAATGTTTTACGGTTATAAACTGCCTTTTGGGTTTTGAGAACTATTTGACTTGTCTGCTCCACAACTGGTAAGGCCTGGGGACATATGGAACTAACCATGCCCTTAATTAATGCTAGAAGGAATCAAACCTTGGTTGCACCTAGCACACAATTAAAACAACTTACCAGGTTTTATGTTAAAGTTAAAAATTGCTAAAAGTTACCATTATGACATGTAATTGAAACTACTGGAAATAGATTTACATGTGAGGTGTGTAAGAAAAATAATTTTTTTTTTTTTTTGAGACAGAGTCTCACTCTGTCACCCATCCTGGAGTGCAGTGATACGATCTTGGCTCACTGCAAGCTCTGCCTCTGGTTCATGCCATTCTCCTGCCTCAGCCTCCCGAGTAGCTGGGACTACAGGCACCCACCATGCCCGGCTAATTTTTTGTATTTTTAATAGAGACGGGGTTTCACCATGTTAGCCAGGATCGTCTCGATCTCCTGACCTCGTGATCCGTCCGCCTTGGCCTCTCAAATGCTGAGATTACAGGTGTGAGCCACTGCACCTGGCCTGGTTTTTTTTTTTTTTTTTTTTTAAGACATAGTTTCACTGTGTCACCCAGGCTGGAGTGCAGTGGCACAATCTCAGCTCACTGCAACCTCTGCCTCCCAGGTTCAAGTGATTCTCATGCCTCAGCCTCACAAGTAGCTGGGATTACAGGTGCATGCCATCACACCTGGCTAATTTTTGTATTTTTGGTAGAGATGGGGTTTTGCCACATTGGCCAGCCTGGTCTCAAACTCCTGACCTCAAGTGATCTGCCCACCTCTACCTCCAAAAGTGCTGGGATTACAGGTGTGGCTCACACCTGTACCCACCCTAAAATGTGTCTTTAATAAAAGGTTATAAAAAGGCATGAAAATGTAAATTCTTGCCTAGGGTTAAAGAATTGTTTCAAATTAGATAGGATAAAGCTGAAGGTTCAAACAAATGGTGGAAGGATTGTGGAAATTCATCTTGCGGAAGAAGTTCTAGGTGTGAACATATTGACTAGGTTCAAGGGGGGTATTGTGTGGTTTTTCTCTGGGCTGAGCATTGGAATAAAAGCACAACAGGACACTGTTGGGGCACTGATATGCTCTTTGGCAAAATTTGTAAAGGGTTATAAAAGTTTTTTGCTTCTTTAAAATTTCTGACTCATCATTTTGGCAAAATAAATAACTTATGTCAACCTGGAATTCTATTTCATAACATCAAGTGTTTTAAACTGCTAACATATTTAACAGGCTTCCCAAAATCAAACTTCAGTTTCAAAATTGTCTTTCCTGACACCTAGCTTTTGGATACTTCAGAGGGCCCCTGGAGTGCCCAGAAAAGAGAGGTAAACAGGATGATTTGACTTGTTTAGTGACATGGGATTGCCAAACTGATGTTCAATCTTCTTTAGATTATATGTTCATGAATAATGCTAATACATGTTCCAAAATTGTATGGGATTGCTAAAATTTTAATGTCTGAGTATATGCTATCAATGATAATTAAGGTTGTTATGCTAAGTTATTGTAAACCATGGAGATAACCAAACTTCTTTGTCAATTGTGTTTCTAACTGTAACTACCCTAGACATTTTGTTATTCACAGACAATTGTCTTGTCTTAATCCTTTTCAAAATATGATTTATAATAAGCTATATAATTTTGGCAGGAACTCTCAAATACAGGCTTCTAATAACTTTGGATATTTTAACATTGGAATAAAGAAAAATGTACAGGACTCATGAAGAGCTGAATGTTCATGAATATGATGTGAATCAAGAACTAAATGGGCTAAACTCAGAGAGCTGAAGCAATCTTTTTGACTTTTGCTTGGAATATTGCCAATCCTTTTGTTTTTCAGAGTCAAGGAAACTTATTTTGCACTATTTATGGCCCTTAATAATTGAGTAAGGTATACTCCTGTGAACAAAATTTGGAGCATGTTTGGTCTCTCTGCCAGGTTCCTCTAGAATTCGGAAATTATCTGTGAGTATTTTTAACTTATGGCAATATAGTTATTTGCATCAGAGCAATGAGAATCCATTTTTCTTTTGCGGCAGGACGCAATTGCAGAAACTGGTTGTTTCACCAAGGCTTTGACTGAAAGGATATGATTCCCTTTAAGGAGCCAAGCTCGATTGCAGAGCTGATAAAAGCCCCCTGGAGAAAAAAACTGATCTCATACCCTCATTTATGCAGTCCCTGTACAGTGTTCCTGACCTGTGGTCAGTAAAGAATGTCACTTTCTAACAGGCCCAGGAGTCCCAAGTTTATCTTGGGACCTTAAGAGGATAGGATCACACAACTCACAGGTATTTGAGGGTGGTTGGGCTCAGGATGGTTGGGCTTAGAGTTAAAAGGTCTTATCCAAGATTCCTTGTGGAACAGAGTTCCATCAAATCCAGTCTAAAAGGCCTATATAGAAATAGTTATTCTTGCTGCACTTTATGCAAATAATCAGGCCAAGGATAAGACTAAAATAGGCTGGGTGCGGTGGCTCATGCCTGTAATCCCAGCACTTTGGGAGGTCAAGGCGGGCGGATCATGAGGTCAGGAGATCGAGACCATCCTGGCTAACACGGTGAACCCCGTCTCTACTAAAAATACAAAAAATTAGCCAGGTGTGGTGGCGGGCGCCTGTAGTCCCAGCTACTAGGGAGGCTGAGGCAGGAGAATGGCGTGAACCCAGGAGGCGGAGCTTGCAGTGAGCTGAGCTCGCGCTACTGCACTCCAGCCTGGGTAACAGAGCAAGACTCTGTCTCAAAAAAAAAAAAAAAAAGACTAAAATCTAGCCTATGTAGAAATAGTGATTCTTGCTGTACTTTATGCAAATAATCTGTTTTGCAAACAACTCAGTCCTATCATGATTGTTTTTTAACAAAAATGAGGACTGGAGAGAGAAATTATATTTCAAAACTCATCATACATTTGTCATTAAATTCTAAACTCATTAGTTGTTTTTTTTGTTTATATTTTTAGACTACCCCTGCTTGTTCCTGTGAACCAACCAATCAATCAACCAACCAAGCAATCTCCAGCTGCAGCTCAGAAAGAACAAAAGGGATGGGTAATGTAAAAATCTGGATCAATATTCTAGTTCTGAGCAATTATCCTGCAAATCCTGCCAGGTGATGGAAATAAACAGGATACTCATCACGCAGAGGTTTCCTTTCTGGGAAAGGAAGACCAAGGGAGCTAACCAAAGCCAAGCACCATGCACCCAAATCTTAGCAAGCATAACTATAGCCACCAGTTATTTGGGCATGTCACAAGACATGCTTTTCTCTCCCTTGTTGGAGGAGGATTCAATTCCACACCTTCACCTCAGCATTTGGCTTCTGATAAGGAGTCCATGTACCCCTACCAAGACACATTTTTTCCCAAACTCAATTCCAAGCTTCAGGTCAAAGCCCTAGGAAAGAAAACTGGATCTAAGGAATCCAGAGGCAGACAACAACAGAGGTTAAAAGACAGTGCAGGTAAGCAGGGCTAATTCCTGCCAATAAAGCCAAGCCTCCCATTTCATGGATAAGGGTCATGCTAGTATCCATGGCATAAATGAGGTCTAGGGAACTCCAAGGCTACTGATAGTAGGTGGGATAGAGACATAGGTGAGAGCAGCTAATTCCTATTATCTAGGCCCTCCCTGCTTCATGGGTGCAAGCTACTTTGGCACCTATGGATGGCACCTGCTAAGTTCACTGGGACTTGATGATTCAAGGACAGAAGAGGGAAAGAGGACACTCTTCCTTCTCTCCTTCACATACCCCAGGTATTGCTAGGAAGAGAAGGGAACCAGGGATGCCTGCTCCCGTCTTTCTAGATGGGTAGCCATTCATCTTCAATCTATACCCCTTTTGAATGCATCCTGAACCCCTGGGACTCCTTTTTTAAAAAAGCCTCCTTGGCTGGGCGCGGTGCCTGGACGCCTGTAATCCCAGCACTTTGGGAGGCCAAGGCGGGCAGATCACGAGGTCAAAAGATCAAGACCATCCTGGCCAACATAGTGAGACCCCATCTCTATTAAACATATAAAAATTAGCTGGGTGTGGTGGCGTGTGCCTGTAGTCCCAACTACTCTGGAAGCTGAGGCGGGAGAATCGCTTAAACCTGGGAGGCTTGCAGTGAAAGCCTTCTTTTTTCCTCCTCTTTCCTCTCTTCACTGATAGGTAATTTTGTCTCTGTACTCAGGACACTCCTGTCAGATGCATCCTCCAAACTGGGAAAAGTTAATTTCCCAAACCTTAGACTGGTTGGCTTAGGATTGGGCTCAGGGGAAGGGAACCCAGAAGCTTGATATGCTGGCAAAAGGGTAAAAGTTTTTTTTACAGTCGGGCTTTTGGCCTCCCTCTCCCTGTGCAAACTGGTAAAAGGCCTTGGGATTTTTGATGTGTCCTTACCCATCCCTTTTTTCTCGTTTTGATACGTGTTTTCTAATAACCTGGTTTGTCTCTTCTCACCTTCAGGCTATCAAACTCCAAATGGTCATGCAACTGGAGCTTTGGAGGATGGCCCTTTCTGCCGGGTACCCTTAGCTAGCTAGACCTCTGAGGGAGCTCCAATGCCATTCCCCCAGAACAGCGCCCCCTGTCAGCAGGAAGCAGTTAAGATCGGTCTTCGTCCTTATCCTTATCCTTATTTTAACAGCAGTTAGATGTACTTCTGCAGAGGGGGGAATGAGACAGCCAGGTGTAAAAGGGTCCCTGGAGAAACTCCAACTGGGCTGCATACTGGGTGAATGAGGTGAATCCTTGGGAAGTTCCTGCCATTTGCAGGGAGGAAGAGTCTGGATTCTCCTATTCCGGGGTTGGTAACCTGGATTTAATTTGTGAGCCCACTGGCAGGAAGTACACTCTCTCGCTTTGCTGAAAGTCCCTGTTTCCCCACCTTTTTTCCTTTTCACCCAATAAACCCTGCCCTTCTCGCCCTTCAAAGTGTCTGCAAGCCTAATTTTTCATGGTCGTGTGACAAGGACCCTGTTTTTAGCTGAACTAAGGAGAAAGTCCTACAACAAAAATGGTCCCTCAGCCATATACTTGAGTTGCTCCCTTAGGGGGCCTCAGTTACTTCCCGATGGTACATTACATACCTGGGGGTTTATTACCTCTGTAATCAGGATCATTCTTTAATGTGGAAGGAAATAGCACACAGAACTCCTGAAAAAATTAGATCCTTAACACAAGACAAATTATCTTTAAACATTTTTTTCATGTGTGTATGTGTGTTTTCAAAAAGTTTTTGTCGGGGAATGGAGGAGTAGATGACTTTTTTTTTTGGAAGTTGTAGAGTCGTAAAGCCAGAAAGAGAGAAAAACTATGGAAAGAGCAGCTCCACTTAGGTGAGTGTGTTTTTAAAATTATAATGTAAATGGTAATTATTATGGAAGATAACCAGAATTTGCCAAGCCTACATTGGGGGTAGAGATGGAGAGAGGGTGCTTTCAGCCAAATAGTATCCTGCTCATTGCCAAGGAGTCATGTAACACTATGGTAAGTTCAGTGAGCTGAGGATACTCTATTCTGGTTGTAGGATAGCATGCATATATGGGCACTTTGCAGTAGAGGTGTTTGCAGACTTTGGGCTTTTCACTTCTGCCATCTGTGCTTGGGCCAATGGAATTGAGTGAGATATACAATCTACAAACAGGCTACCCTGGAACATTTACCCCAATCTTTGACACAAAGGTAGTGTTTTGTTTTGTATTGTGTTTTGTTTTGTTTTACTTTCTAATATTCTGAAATATCTTAGAATAGTTCTTAGTTTTCTTTTGTCCCAGGCTTTACAAGGTTGGAAGGGGCCTATTCCCATCTTTACTCTGGAGGTCTCATCTTCTAATGCTGGGCATTGGGTAGATGCTTATGGGTCTGGGCAGCATCCTTGTTCTCAAGCAGTAAGAGGATTCCAAAGGCCATTTTAGGTGTTATTCAGCAGGCACTGACTTGCAAGATGCCAAGAGCCCACAAGAGAAAGCAAGATGACCTGAAGAAATGGATGTTCCTTCATTCTCCACTTGCCTGAAGACAAACTGAGATTTAGGTGAAGCTCACATCTATTTCTGCTAATAACAATCCCACTGCTAATTATGGGATGTGGTAGTTATAGTGATAAGAGAGGAGCTATATTCAGAGGGGTTTAGAAAAGGTTGCAATGTACAGAGGGGTTTTTAATTTGTATTAATATTTCTCAGTTTACTTCCTCCATTTAGATTTAAGATTTACTCATTAATTCAATAAACATTTATTGAGTGTCTGCTATGTACCAGGCACTGTTCTATTGGCTGGGGATAACAGCAATGAACACCACAAACAAAACCCTTGCTCTCATGGAGTTTGTACTTTAGTGGAGGGAGAGTGACAACAAATATAATAAAATACTGTATGTTGCATGGTGATAATTTTGAGAAGAAAAATACAGCAGGGAAGGGGTATAGAAGAAGGTGTTTGACAGGATTTGCAATTTTAGAGAGTGATTGTAAATTTAGAGAAGGTCCAGGGAAGAACCTTCTGAAAAGATGAAGGTGAAGGAAGGGAGCCCTATGGACATCTGGGTGCAAAGGTATTCCAAGCAGAGAGAACACGAAAGGGGGGCACATGCCTGGGGTTTTTGAGGAACAGCATGGAGTCCAGTGTATATGCAATAACATCAAGAAGACAGTAGTAGGAGCTGATATCAGAGAAAAAAAACCACGAGGGCAAGACCATAGAGCCTAATAAGCAAGCCATTGTAATGCTTTGGTTTCATTCAGTGTGAGATGGAAATTCACTTCTTTACTTGACATATTTACAGGAGTAAATCATTGCTGGGTTGAGAATAAACTGAAAATTTGAATCCCCTACTTCCAAAATGTGCAAAGACATCATAAGATTGATAACGTTTAATAAGCATCTGTGACTTTATAAGCCAGGTGGGTCTCTGCTCTTTGTGTCTTAATATTTTGCAAAAGTAATTGCAGTTTTTACCATTGACAGTAATGGCAAAAACCACAATTACTTTTGCACCAATCTAATATTTAGGACCTCAGACAGTCCACAACTTAGAAGACTCAGGCCTGAAGACAGTCTTATCCTCTCACGGTTGACTAAGCAAATGTTTGTTGAATGAATGAAAGAATAATATTGATTGAGAATTAAAAAAAAAAGAGACAATAGTTAATAATTCTGAGTATCCTGAAAAAACTAGTGCCTATAGCCTAAATTTTCTATTAAAAAATGTAAAGATTTAGCAAAATATTTACCTGTGTGGTGACATTTCTTTCCTTTTGTCTTTTATTATGTTCCTCTGCTTTGATAGCTGCAATACACAAAATTTTTTTATAAAATTTAAAAGCATTTTCTTTTTAAAATTTCACTAAATACAATTTATTGTTAAAAAAACTTCTAGAAAACTTTTAGAACTCTAAGAATAATTGTTGACAATAATTTATAATTTAGAGTTCCTAATAATGTGTTAAAAATAATTCCTTCACTGATAATTTGTAAAGCTAGAACTTGACACCAGAGACAATCTATATACTTTAATCAAGCATTCTGAAATTGAGTTAATAACATGAAAGAGTTCTATAAATCATAGAGCTAATTACAATAGTGGAAAACTTTCTGAGCTAGAAATGTATTTAATTAAATGTATCTATATAAATAAGTGCCATCTATTAATAGAAGCTATTAAAACATAGAAGAGGAAATATAACATTTTATATTTTTATAGACTCATCCATATGTCAGAGAGATACTGAAAATTAATTGAATGATACAAACATCTGAGAAATGTAGACTGATAATTATACCAGGCTTTGAAATTTGAGAAAATAACTTTCAATGAATTTTTAATGAACCAATTTTAATACTTTTTTTTATAAAGACTATATATATATCATATAGAATACATGCATAATCATTGGCATATTTATTTTTGCACAGTGCTTGAAATTTCTTCACTTTCTTAGAGAAACAAGTCGGAAAACGTGAGATGACAGGATAACACATCATGATGTTTCAACTTTACTACATTACTAAGATTGACAAATTTTCAATTGCTGTAAACAAACAAATCTGATGCATTGTAAAAATGATCATATGTTTTGGGAAGTAAAAAAAATGCAAATATGTGATACATTCACATTTCACAGGCTGAAGAATTTGACCACAAACCAATATGAAATAGTCAAAATTTTGTATTTCCAAAAAGTCAAAAGCTTTTAAGAACAGGTCATAAATTTTCTAATGTTATTTCTGACATAGTATTTATTAATTAATTAATTTATTTCTACTTTTTTTTTTTTGGACACAGAGTCTCACTCTGTCACCCAAGCTGGATGTAGTGGCACGATATTGGCTCCCTATAACCTCTGCCTCCGTGTTCAAGCAGTTCTCATGCCTCAGCCTCCCAAGTAGCTGGGGTTACAGACATGCACCACTGCCCCCAGCTAATTTTTCTATTTTCAGTGGAGGTGGTGTTTTTGCCATGTTAGCCAGGCTGGTCTTGAACTCCTGACCTCAGGTGATCTGCCTGCCTCAGCCTCCCAAAGTGCTGGGATTACAGGCGTGAGCTGCTGCGCCCAGCCCATTGTATTTATTAATTTGATGTTTTATTATTTCACTTACCAGTGAACTTTAGTACTTGGCAGCAGCCTCACAATTATACATCTGTTGTGTTTACTTTGTAATCTAGACCTTATAGGAACTGGTCCCAGATTGATTCATATTTAGTCCTCTGTCAAATTAGAGAAATAACTGGCAAATTCTAAATAAAAATTAGGCTGGGTATGGCAGCTCACACCTGTAAACCCAACACTTTGGAAGGACAAGGTGGCCGGCTCCCTTGAGCCCAGGAGTTTTGAGACGAGCCTGGGCAACATAGTGAGACCCTGTCTCTACAAAAAATGCAAAAATTAGCCAGCTATGGTGGCATGCACCTGAAATCCAAGCTACTTAGGAGGCTTAGGTGGGAGGATCATTGAGCCCGGGAAATCAAGGCTGCAGTGAGCAGAAATTGCGCCACTGTACTCAAGCCTGGGTGACAGAGCGAGACCCTGTCTTAAATAAATAAATATTCAAAAACTGCCTGGTAAGCAAGGCATTACTAAGGCATACCAAATTCTTTTAAAGACGATACATATCTGATACTATTATATACATTAGGATTGTTCCTTAGGTTCAAGATATGAATAAGTTTTATTAAATATTATTATAAATAAAGCTTTATCCCAAGTTTGTCAAGTGATTATATTGGGACCATGAATACTCAACGTCAGAGGCAATGTAGCCTCATGGTCTACCATCTGGCTTTAAGTCAAACAGGCCTATATTCTAGTCTTGATTTTGTAACTATTTCATTAATTGGTATGATAATTAAATGAGATCGTTTATATATTTAGCACAGTACTTAATACACAGTTTTTAATAAGTGTTAGGTATATAAAATTATTATTATTATATGGAACCTACTTCTTTAAAGGATTTAAGATGCCTTGAGGATATTACATGTGAGTGCAAAAGTACTTGCAGTTTTTGCATTGTTGGAATTTGCCGTTTGATATTGGAATACGCTACTTAAATAAATGTGGTTATGTTACACATCATTTTAATGGGCATTTCTCACCTCATGTTTTTTGCTTATTACTTGCTGTTTATTTTATGTTTATTTTAGACTATGGAATGATGTTAGACAAAAAGCAAACTTGAGCGATTTTCTTATTTGAGTTCAAAATGGGTCGTAAAGCAGCAAAGACAACCTGCCACATCAACAACACATTTGGCCCAGGAACTGCTAACGAACGCACAGTGCAGTGGTGGTTCAAGAAGTTCTGCATAGGAGGTCTGGGCGCGGTGGCTCACGCCTGTAATCCCAGCACTTTGGGAGGCCGAGGTGGTCAGATCACGAGGTCAGGAGATCGAGACCATCCTGGCTAACACACTGAAAGCCCATCTCTACTAAAAATACAAAAAAAAAAAAAGTTAGCCGGGTGTGGTGGCAGGCGCCTGTAGTCCCAGCTACTTGGGAGCTACCCAGGAGGCAGAGCTTGCAGTGAGCTGAGATCGACCCACTGCACTCCAGCCTGGGCGACAGAGCGAGACTCTGTCTCAAAAAAAAAAAAAAAAAGTTTTGCAAAGAAGACAAGAGCCTTGAAGATGAGGAGCATAGTGGGCGGCCATCGGAAATTGACAACGACCAGTTGAGAGCAGTCATTAAAGCTGATCCTGTTAAAACTACATGGGAAGTTGCCAAAGAACTTAACGTCGACCATTCTATGGTTGTTCGGCATTTGAAGCAAATTGGAAAGATGAAAAAGCTTGATAAGTGGGTGCCTCATGAGCTGAACGAAGATTTGAAAAATCATCATTTTAATGTGTCCTCTTTTCTTAACAACGAACATTTCTCGATTGGATTGTGATGGGCAACGAAAAGGGGATTTTATATGACAACCAGTGATGACCAGCTCAGTGGTTGGACCAGGAAGAAGCTCCAAAGCACTTCCCAAAGCCAAACTTGCACCCAAAAATGGTCATGGTCACTGTTTGGTGGTCTGCTGCCGGTCTCATCCACTACAGCTTTCTGAATCCCAGTGAAACCATGACATCTGAGAAGTATGCTCAGCAAATTGAAGAGATGCACCGAAAACTGCAACGCCTGAGCCAGCATTGGTCAACAGAAAGGGCCCAATTCTTCTCCAGGACAAGGCCTGACCGCTCGTCGTACAACCAAAGCTTCAAAAGTCAAACGAATTAGGCTTTGAAGTTTTGTCTCATCCGCCATATTCACCTGACCTGTCGCCAACCGACTACCACTTCTTCAAACATCTTGACAACTTTTTGCAGGGAAAATGCCTCTACAACCAGCAAGATTCAGAAAATGCTTTCCAAGAGTTTGTCGAATCCTGAAGCATGGATTTTTACACTATGGGAATAAACAAACTTATTTCTCCTTGGCAAAAATGTGTTGATTGCAATGGTTCTTATTTTGATTAACAAAGATGTGTTTGAGCCTAGTTATAATTATTTTAAATTCACAGCCCAAAACCACAATTACTTTTGCACCAACCTAATGCATTAGTAGTTTAAAAGGGACTATGGCAAGTAAAGCATAATTAGAGAATTCATGTTACTAGCACTTATTAATGCTTTGCCTGTAATGTGACATCTCTCAATTATAGTATCTTTCAAAGAAAATTCCTTAGCCTAATTATATTTGTGTATTAGAAATCAGACATTGTGACTGATATTATAGTCACATAAAATGTCTAGCAGTTTTTAAACTCCATTATCACAACTAGAAAAAGTAAACTAGAAAAAGCAATGTGATTTGGTAGATTCCCATTATTATATTCCCCAAAGTACACAGAATAAAATTAGAGTTAGTATGTACAGAACGTACAGACACAGAAGTACAAACTGTCATGTGTATTTGAGTGAGAGGAGAAAATTATAGATATTAAATGGAGTGAAGTTTATATTATACACTGGTCCAGAAAATCAAACTGTCAGTGGTCAAAGAGTAACATGAAAATTACAGGGCTAAAAGCAGTCATCGAAAGTAGGATAAGTGTAGATAAAAGAATTAGGGAAATGGAAGGAAGCATAAGCATATAACTGAAGGAATTAACTATTCAGTAGCTTAAAACATAACATGAAGACAACAGCAATTGTTCATTATTTCCAGCAGAAGATGTGCAAGCCAAAACACTTTTGAAACTTACGACAAGGGTGTTTATTTTCTAAATTTCAGGCTTTTAGATTTTTTACCTAAAGAAAAAGAAGCTTCCATTGGCTACTAGGGAAAACATTCTGTTACAAATAATGTGTCCCATAATACTTTAGAGTAGCTTGTTTCGTACCACTTGAGAAACATTGGTGATTGCTAGAGATCTGCACCACTGTTTTATCACTTCCCCTACAGGATGCTGAAATTCCCACAAATTCAAGCACTCCCTGTAAAAAACCACAATCTACCGGGTACAGGAAGAAAATATTAGATCTACTTGCCTGAGGCTTTAAAAAATCTCCTTCATTATCTCTATTTTAGGGATATGTTTCATAATGCACATAATAGATCAGTAGTTCATTATCATCATGAATAAATAAATATATATAATAGCGTACACCATCAAAAATGTCTGATGTAGAGTTAGCCTTGGAAGGGGACTAAAGTTTCATTCAGCTCTAGAATTATAGCTCTAACTGTAATTTATTATATGCTAGATTCTTTAGATACTTTATCTTCAATCTCCATAACAACCCACCAAAATAGCAAGCACAGAATATCTGTGTTCTCACCAAGTGAGAATAAGTCAGTTGTCCAAGGTCACAGGGCAGAGTGGGATTCAAATGCAGGTCTGACTCCAGAGCTCTTCTTTCTACACCATTGCCACTTCAAACCTTACCAAAGGATTCACAATAGGTTGATTTTAAGTGGCAAATTTCTGTAATGACATCAACTCCATTTTTTTAAAAAACAAAAATCTGATTTATGCAGAACATTTTATGGGACATATCAATTTACATAACATGAAACACACCATCCTATGCACACTACAGCTTTGATTTACTCCTCCCCTTCCACTGAGATAGAAGAATTTTGAAGTGGTAGGGAAGAAGCTAGCACTACAGCCTACTGCCTCCAAAAGAATTGTCCATGTGGTTTTTGGGGCATGGAGGGGAAGCCCATCGGATTCATAGAAGACTTATAAGGTTTTTAAAAGTGTTGTGTTGAACAAAAGCCACTAGCTTGGGTTAAAAGAAATTGAGACAGTTCAAAATGAGAAGAGGCCTCTGGGCCTCCATCTTTCTAGGAATAGGAGACAGCATGAGAAAGCTACTCAGTCACAAACATGGGCCATTTCTTATGTAAAAGGAAGGACGACTCAGAAGGCAGAGCCAAGCCCAGAGGGTATTGCCAAGAGCCAAATAGAACAATATATTAAGGAACCACTTCCGGAGGGTAGAACTGGGCCCTAATTAATAAACATTGCCTGTCTCTGTAGTAGAGGAATCTTCCAACATGCACCTGGCTAGATTTCCAAATTGCCATGGACCAGTGACTAGTATATCTCTCCTTTTGGGACAGCAGTGTCTAATATAGTTTTGCTGTCTTTCCAGTGTACATTGGGTATGTGAAGGCATAGGGGAATAACTTGTCTTTTTAGTTTACAGGTGCCTGAATTAAAGAACTATACCTAAGGAACTTCATCGACATCTTGACTTCATACAGACCATGAGATGATGGATTCCGAGCTTGATGATATGATAAAGTGAGACCTGGGCAATTTTGGGAGGATGAGATTCATGAAAGAGACATGAATCGTTGAGGCCTAAGGGTGGACTATTGTAGATTGTTACAACAATGGCCCCCAGGGAATCACAACTCCTTGTATTCACATCGCTTTGCAGTGTGACTTTGCCCAGTCCTCCCATCAGGAGATGGAGATTATTTTTTCCCACTCCTTATGTCTGGGCTGCCGTTTTGACTTTCTTTGACCAACTGAAATGTGGCAGATGACACTTCAAATTCCAAGGCTAGTCCTTAGGCCTTGCAGCCTCCTTTACCTTCCTGGGGCAATGCTGTGAGACCACCATGTCCTGAAGAAGCAAGGAATAATAGACCATGTGGACAGAGAGGCCCAGCCATCCCAGCTGTCTCTGCTGACCACCAGCTGCATGAAACTGCATGAGAGTGAGTCCAGATGAGATCAGTGAAAAGCCACCCAATCAACACACAGAATTATGAGATTATGAGGAGTAATAAATCATTGTTGTTTGAACTCACTAAGTTTTGGGTTGTTAATGCAGCAATTGACAACTGAAATGATTCTGTGTTTTCAGCCTATTAGGACTTCTTGATTCAAAAATCTCAATTCTCTGAAGCTAAGGTAGACCAATAACTAATGACAAAATAAATCATACAGAATATAGTCCTAGCATTGAGAAAAGGATTAGAAGAATAAAATATCGACCAGGCACAATGGCTCATGCCTGTAATCCCAGCACTTTGGGAGCCTGAGGCAGGCAGATCACAAGGTCAGAAGCTCAAGACCCACCTGGCCAACATGGTGAAATCCCATCTCTGCTAAAAAATATACAAAAATTAGCTGGGCATGGTGGCATGCACCTATAATCCCAGCTACTTGGGAGGCTGAGGCGGGAGAATTGCTTGAACCCTGGAGGCAGAGTTCCAGTGAGCCAAGATCACGCCACTGCACTCCAGCCTAGGCAGCAGAGCAAGACTCCATCTCAAAAAAAAAAAGAAGAGGAAGAAGAAGAAGAAAATATAAAAAAAAACTCTCTATTATAGTTCTTACCAGATCTAATTTCTCATGAGAGTTTCAAAATGCTTTAACTCCTGGCTTCACCATTTATTTCTCTAGTGTAGACTCACCTCCTTTTTGTCCCTGGTGTTGTCTAACTCCATTCAGTTCACTCACCTACTTAACTTCCACGGACTATTGTTCTGTTCATCAACCCTTGCTAGCCAATATCTTGACTTCTCATTCTCTCTTATATTCTTTCTCATTTCCTTGAAATATTTGGCAGTTTCCCAATCTAAACAATCTGGAGCAGCAAAAAAAAAAAAAAAAAAAAAAAAAAAAATCAGAGTAACAATAGGCCAGGTGCGGTGGCTCACGCCTGGAATCCCAGCACTTTGGGAGGCCGAGGTGGGCAGATCACCTGAGGTCAGGAGTTCGAGACCAGCCTGGCCAACATGGTGAAACCCGTCTCTACTAAAAATACAAAAATTAGGCAGGCGTAGTGGCATATGCTTGTAGTCCCAGCTATTCGGGGGGCTGAGGCAGGAGAATTGCTTGGACCCGGGAGGTAGAGGCTGCAGTGAGCTGAGATTGAACCGCTGTACTCCAGCCTGGGAAACAGAGTGAGACTCCATATCAAAAATAAAAAATAAAAATAAAAATGAGAATAACAATTAAAAAGCAAAAAAACCATTTTCCCCTAACTTCACCCTTGTTACCAGAGGCCTGACCCTAATATTTGCACACCCTAGAGTAGGAATACAAACGGCAGTCCACCTTCTATATGCCTAAATATATATATTTTTTTCCTTGAGATGGACTTTTGCTCTGTCACCCAGGCTGGAGTGCAAAGGCACCATCTCAGCTCTCTACAACCTCTGCCTCCTGGGTCCAAGCGATTCTCCTGCTTCAGCCTCCCGAGTAGTTGGGATTACAGGCACGTGCCACCACTCCCAGCTAATTTTTTTTTGTATTTTTCTTACAGATGGGGGTTCACCATGTTGGCCAGGCTGGTCTTGAACTCCTGACCTCATGATCCACCCGCCTCGGCCTCCCAAAGTGTTGGGGTTACAGGCATGAGCCACTGCACCCGGCCTGTATGTCTAAATATTTAAATGTCATCAATCAAGCTAACAGTCAAAGAAAATATGTTCTATCCCCCTATTTTGTCAAATATATCTTTATTAAAAACCTGGGAGGCCAAGTTTGAATTTGGAGTCTTTGCAATCCTTGCTTTTGTGTAAGAAATTGTCAGCATAGGAAGAGCCAGCCCAAGGACCCCACCCCACCCCACCCCCAAATGCAACCTGCCCTTTTTCGTTGAGCACATTGTAAATGTGTGGTGTGCTCTGCTATCTGCTATCTCTTCATTTTTTTTTTTTTTTTTTTTCTGAGACAGAGTTTCGCTCTTGTTGCCCAGGCTGGAGTGCAATGGCGCAATCTCAGCTCACCGCAACCTCCGCCTCCCTGGTTCAAGCGATTCTCCTGCCTCAGCCTCCGGAGTAGCTGGGATTACAGGCATGCACCACCACCCCTGGCTAATTTTGTATTTTTAGTAGAGACGGGGTTTCTCCATGTTGGCCAGGCTGGTCTCAAGCTCCCGAGACCTCAGGTGATCCATGCGCCTCGGCTTTCCAAAGTGCTGGCGGCCATCTCTGCTTCTTAATAGTCTTTTTTTTTCCTACTTTACATTCTTGAAATCTAGCTTTTAACCTTTTCACATAGATAACTTCTTTCTCAAAGGCCAGTAATGACCTCTTTTTCTTGTCTCATTCAATGACATCTTCCCCCAGACATATTTGCTTAGCTTTACAGTCTTTCTTTTTAGACGCTGTTGTACACCAGCTTCTGTGACGTTATACTATCTCCGATATCCTTCTTCCTTCTAACCCCCTATTTGAGAGTTTCTCTTTTGTTTTGAGTCTCCTAATGATTTTGTATTTCTCAGTGCTCAGTCCTCACCTCTTCTCTCTGGCATGATGTGAGGGTTGAGCTGGGCCAGTGGGGAGTTTGGAGTGGACAGCTGTGGGTGCAGGAGGTCAGGAAGTAGGAAGGGATACTGATTCCCACATAGGCTGCCACTTAAGAAGTAAAGCCCTGGGAATCACACTGTGATGAATGGAAAGCAGAAAAACACAGGTAACAGGAGAATCCAGAGAAGACACTCATTCAGGCTGACAGAGGTGAGACAAATAGTAAGAGGTCAACCTGGCAACGAGGATGATTCTAAAACCTGGGACTAAGTTTCGAGAGCAGGTCAGGCTGGGAATAAATGACTAGAAGTGTGCAGACAGTAAGTACCAGAAATGGGGAGAAAACTGGTGATACATAGAAGAAGAGAGATGATTTGCACTACAAGGGCCCAGAGAAAATTCTCCCAATGGGATTTTTGTTGGGTGAGTACTTAGTTTTCTGAGGAAAGCACAGCGTAAATCAGACCCAGTCATTTCATGCCTGCATTCATACAATAGCCTCCTAATATATTTAATTATAATTGTTCTCATTTTAATCTAATTTCCGTCTACCCTTAGAATAATTTTCCCTAAGTACTGTTTTCATCAAGACACCCATCTCCTTAAAAACCTACAAGTCTTTGGTCGGGCACAGTGGCTCACGCCTGTAACCCCAGCACTTTGGGAAGCAGAGGCGGGCAGATCACGAGGTCAAGAGATCAAGACCATCCTGGCCAACATGGTGAAACCCCATCTCTACTAAAAACACAAAAATTAGCTGGGTGTGGTGGCATGCGCCTGTAGTCCCAGCTACTCGGGAGGCTGAGGCAGGAGAATCGCTTGAACCTGGGAGGCGGAGGTTACAGTGAGCCGAAGTTGCACCACCACTGCACTCCAGCTTGGGTGACAAGAGCAAGATTCTGTCTCAAAAAAAAAAAAAAAAAATCACTGATCACAGACCACCGTAAGAGATACAATAATAAAGAAAACTTTTGGAATATTATGAGAATTACCACATGTGACAGAGACACGAAATGTGCATATGCTGTTGGGAAAATGGTGCCGATAGACTTGCTCAACACAGGGTTGCCACAAACCTTCAAATTATAAAAAATGCAGCATCTGTGAAGTGCTATAAAGTGAAGGGCAAGAAAACAAGGTACGCATGTATGACTCTAGGTTCTTTATTAGTTTAATTTGTGAGATGCTTATTTTTGGACATCATCAATTGGTGTTTGTTTTCTTCTTCTTCTTCCTTCTTGCCTCTTCTTCTTCTTCTTCCTCTTCTTTCTTCTTTCTTATTTTTTGAGGCGGAGTTTCGCTCTGTCGCCCAGGCTGGAGTGCAACGGCACAATCTCAGCTCACTGCAACCTCTGCCTCCTAGGTTCAAGCGATTCTCCTGCCTCAGCCTCTTGAGTAGCAGGAATTACAGGCGCCCATTACCACACCCAGCTAATTTTTCTATTTTTTAGTAGAGACGAGGTTTCACTGTGTGGGCCAGGTTGGTTACAAACTCCTGACCTCAGGCAATCCACCCACCCCGGCCTCCCAAAGTGCTGGGATTACAGGTGTGAGCCACTGCGCCTGGCCACCAAATGATGCTTAGAAATAGTCATTTCATATTTTCTTATTTAACCATGTGAAGAAGTTGGATAAATTACTAAGTTATTTTACCTCCCTGAGCCTCAGTTTTCTATAAAATGGGAATAGAAATACTGTTCCTACCTTTTGGAGTAAGTGTGAAGACAGAATAGAATCAAAGTTTAAATTGTTTGGTGTTTTATTAAATACATGGCACTTTAATAACAAATGTAAGTTCCTCTCTCTTTCTCTGTTACCAGAGACCTGTCTTTTTTTTTTTTTTTTTTTTGAGATGGAATCTTGCTCTGTCACCCAGGCTGGAGTGCAGTGGCACAATCTCAGCTCGCTGCAATCTCTGCCTCCTGGGTTCAAGCGATTCTTCTACCTCAGCCTCCTGAGTAGCTGGAACTATAGGCACGGGCTACCATGCCCAGCTAATTTTTGTATTTTTAGTAGAGATGGGGGTTTCACCATATTGACCAGGCTGGTCTTGAACTCCTGACCTCGTGATCCACCCGCCTCGGCCTCCCAAAGTGCTGGGATTACAGGAGCCAGCCACTGTGCCCAGCCAAAACCTATCTTTTTAAAGGAAGTAGCATTAGCATCTGTGAGAAAAGTACTTCCCTTACTGAAATAAAGTGAAGAAGCTACACTTTGTAAGCCATGGAAGAAGCAGCTCCTGCTGAACTTTACTTTCTCTCTGGCTTTTTCTTGCTCTGATCACTGCTCCTACCCCCTTTTCCTTGAAACCTCTTTTCTTGGTTCCCCTTACCACATGTAAAACTGACTGGCATTTTCAAAACAGATTTAGTAATTCAAGAAAGAAGAAAAAATATTTAAAAGGCACAGATACAGTCCTATATACACTGACAGATCTCTGGTTATAATATCTCAACTGCCTTCTGCCTGGTCCCAGCTCATTTCTTTTCCTGGTAGAATTTCACAAGAACCTTTCCCTACTTGCAAGGGGAGTGCCATCTTACTTTCAACCATATGGGGGCAACTTTCCTTAACAACTGGTTCTGTCTGGCATTAAGGGCAGGAATACAAATTCTAACTGCCACTCACCTAAGCTCTTCCCATTCTGAAGGACACAGCTTTTCTCTTCTCCAGAGCTGTGAAATGAAGAGGGTGACGGGTATTATTGCCCCCCAACCTCTATGCTCTGAGAACACCTTGGTTCCCTAGAGAGCCATCTCAGTCATATAATAATTGTAACATCCATACAGCAAGAATTGCATATATATGAGGGATAGAAGGGAGCTATTCCATTCCTCTCTTAACAGAAATGATTTACAATCATTATTTCTACATAATTAGACCAAACCTGGATATTTCAAGGTCTCTAAATACAAATACATTTTGATGTATTTTTATATATTTGGTAATAGGCTAATGGCTTAGTTATATAAATTAAAATATAGTAGATGTTCTGAAAGTCTGTAATTTAGTGTCAGTGTCTTGAAAAGATATTTCGTAGTCTTTTATTCTCTCTTCCTCATCATTTCCTTCTTCAAGTGCAAAGATAGCAAAATTTCCATAAAAACTAAAGTTACTGGGGACTAGGTTTTTATTTATTCTTTTCTGGAATAGTTCCGTTACTTATTTTAATTTTTATGAAGTTTAACTGAGTAGAGAAGGCCAAATAACTCAGCTTTGCTGAGAATATTCCTTCCAGAAGCCTAATTACCTCCTGTAGATACAAGTAAAGAGCTTAACAGCAACCTTGAAGGATAGTTGAATAATTGATGCAATGTGCCTGGCACAGTGCCTGGCACAGTGCCTAGCGCATAGCAAGTGCCTAATAAATGTTATTCTTATGATTAATTCTTCATTAGGTGAGAAATAATTTTGGAGAAATGCAAATTATAAATGAGAGTATGCGGTGGAACATATTAACTGATGACAATATTAACTGATGGTTTTTCTTGGTACTTCTCTGTACCTGTGGCCTTTTCCCAATTTAGTCAGTGAGTTGCTCATTGCTTCAGAAAAAAATAATGATGTGGTAGAAAGAAACGAATTTTCTTGGCTGTTGGAGGAAAAGAAAGGACTTACAATCTGGACAACAGAATAAATGTAGAATAACTGGGATATAACATCAAAGTAACTGCAAGGCTTTCTGTGCTCTCTTCCCAAAATGAGAAAACATTCCCTGGACTAGGAGTAGGGAGAGAGCTAGAGAGGTGGTAAAGAGAAATTAACACTACAATAGCTCGACATTAAATGTATTAGCTTGACATTAAACAGAAATTACATTCCAATGTTGAAAAAACTGTTGTATTTCTTGCTTGCTCAAATGTATGAACTAAAATGTATAATGGATATATTGACTTAGTTAATTCTATTCATACAAAGTATGAAGGCTTTGTTAATGGTGATTTTAAGATGTGATTATGTCCTCTAGAAATAGGGCACTAAAGCTTTTAAGCTTAGAGACACACAGTGACTTTAGTTGAAAGGCTGAAATTTTGCAATAGATAGAAAGTTTCCACTTAGGGTTGTGATGAAGAGTGGAAATACTCAAACTACTTGTTTTGTTGTCACTAGTTGAAGTGGCTGAAATATGATTAAATAGGCAGCAAGGTGGCCTGAATATATTCCTGTCATTTCTAAGTCCCAATGTCCCCACAAACTAAATCATTATTTCTCATGTGCCCCCTCCCAAGTCACCTTCCTTTCTCCAATATTCTGCCCCTGTCAAGGGGATCATCACTTTCTCAAGCTCCAAATCTTCCATCATGTTTTACTCACTCCATGCCAACATCCCCATGAACAGGTAAAACATTGTTGTGTTTTGTTTTTCTTTGAATTGCACAGTCGTGGGTGGGGAGTGGGAAGAGTTATTCTCAGAAATAAATGAGATCATGGATGTGAAAGTGCTTGACATTTGCTAGGCACTCAGTAAAGTTTCTTTTAATTTCTTCTATCTGACAATTTAAGCCTTTGAATAATCCAATCTTATTTTTCTTAGCCAATTTATTTCCCACTACACCCTGCTCTTATTGAAGTGGTAGTATCCTCCTACCCCATATGTACATTCTACTCATTCTCACACCCATGTATTTTACTTATTTGTGCACTTCTAATTTGGAATGCTTTCCTATTCTTTTCCGAATATCCAATTGTTATTCATCCTTCCAGGACATGTCTTTCCTGTTTCAACATTAGAGCCAGATGCCTACCATAGTTCCTGTCCTATAACAGATTCTTAATACATATCTGTTAAGTGACTAAATAAATTTGCCTTCCTACCTGTAGGTCTCACTGGATACTACTGCCTTCAATGACCCATCATCCGTTCTTGGTACATCTTCAGGAAGTGGTACTCCCTTGTCACTTATGTTAGCACCCACTCATATATTGAATTTTATTCTACGGATTGTAAGATCTCTGAAGAAAGTGCTCCATCCTCTTTTTTTTTTTTTTTTAAAGTTTGCCTCTAGCACCCTGCACAGTTTCTTAATTAAAAATGTTGTTTGATTAAATACTTTTATTATAACACAGCATGTCATTCTGCTGCTGGATCTAAAATTTAACCAAACTGCCTTTTAAGTTACAATAGAAAACTTAGAGTCAAAGAATCGCAAGTTTGGAATTGTCTTCTGACATACCGTGAAATAAAATCCAGAATCTCAAGGTTGGAAGACAGTTGTCTCTGCAACAGTGGTTGACATTTAATTACTAAATATGGATAGACATTTATGATGTTTTTAATTATTTTGCCATGACAAACAATACTGTAAGGGATAACCTTGAACATGTTTCCTATAAAACATGTATAAGGGTTTGTTAGGGTGGACAAGAAGAAGTAAATTTGCTCATTTGAGAGGTAGTATGCTCATTTTAAATATTAATAGATAATGCCAAATTGGCATTCCAAAAAGCTACCATTCTACTTCCACACTTAGTATACGTATGTTATATATAATACTGCCATGGCCGGATGCAGTGGCTCACGCCTCTAATCCTAGCACTTTGGGAGGCTGAGGTGGGCAGATCACCTGAGGTCAGGAGTTGGAGACCAGCCTGGCCAACATGGTGAAACATTGTCTCTACTAAAAATACAAAATTAGCCAAGCGTGGTGGCAGGTGCCTGTAATCCCAGCTACTCGGGAGGCTGAGACAAGAGAACTACTTGAACCTGGCGGGTGGAGTTTGCAGTAGGCCAAGGTTGTGCCATTGCACTCCAGCCTGGGTAACAAGAGTAAAACTCCGTCTCAAAAAGAAAAATACTGTCACACATATTAATTAATAGAAATTAATATTCCTATATATATTACTATATATATTATATATACTATATCTATTACTATATAGGAATATTAATTTTTTCTCACCATAACTGGCACGTTTCAATTTTTTTCAATGTATTGTGATAATACTGGTGTCTCACTGTTAATTTTCATTTGCATGATTACTGGTACAGTTAACCATCTTTTCACATTTGGGAGCATTTATATTTCCTCTCTAAGGAACTGACTGTTAGGTCATTTGCCCATTTTTCTATCAGGCTCTTTTTTAAAAAAAATCTTTAGGAATTCCTTATATGTTCTAGATGTTATTTGATATGGTGTGTATGTTGTAAATATATTCTTCAGTCTGTTTTCAGCCTTTTAACTGTTTATTGTATCCTTTTCACCATAGAGGTCTTAAATCCTGAAGCAGTGAAAATTATCCATTCCTTCCTCACTTATAACCTTTTTGTTTGTGTTTTGTTCAAGAAGGTTTTCTTACCAAGCATTTGAATCTATATTTTAATGTATTTCCTTAAACTATTTTTATAGTTTTGTTTTTACAATGTACTTTTGTTTTGTTTTGTTTTGTTTTGTTGAGATGGGGTCTCACTCTGTCATCCAGGCTGAAGTGCAGTGGCACAGTCTCAGCTCACTGCAACCTTCACCTCCCAGGCTCAAGCAATCCTCCCACCTCAGCCTCCTGAGTAGCTGGGACCACAGGCATGTGCCACCATAGCTAGCTAATTTTTTTTTTTTTTGTATTTTTAGTAGAGATGAGGTTTCACCATGTTGCCCAGGCTGGTCTTGAACTCCTGAGCGCAGGTGATCCACCCACCTCAGCCTCCCAAAGTGTTGGGATTACAGGCGTGAGCCACCGTGCCTGGCTACAATTTACATTTTTAATCCATCTGGATCATTTTTGTGATTCGTATGAAGTGGGATCTACCATTTTGTCCTAAATAAATGGACAATTTGTCACTAGCAATCATTACAATCCATCTCTTTCCTATTACATTTTAAAACCTTCTTTCAGGTACTAAATTCTTATTCATACACTGGTCCATTTTTTAACTCTCTGTTCTGTTTTCCTGATCTACTCCTCTATTCTTCTGGCAATACCCTAATTACTGTATATCTAATTACTGTATATTTATAATTGCATATTTTACTATCTGGTTGAGCAGGAACTTCTCTGTGTGTGTGAGGACACACACACACACGCCCTCTATGTTCCTCTTTGTGAAACTTATCTTGGGAATTCCGGCGTAATTTCTTTTCTAGATAAATTTTAGAATAAGCTTGTCAGATTCATTTAGAAATCTGTTGATATTTTGACTGGAATTGTTAATTTACAATTGATTGGAAATGTTAATTTACAAAAACTTGGCATATTTGCAACACAGATTCATTCAGATGTACAGCTTTAATTTATTCACGTTTCTTTGTTTAATGTTCTCCAGATACACTTTAATTTTTATTCCTTGGGTATTTTACTCCAGCTTCATTAAATTTATTCCTAGCTATTTTATAACATCTGTTGCTACTGTGAAAAGGATTTTTAAAAAGAAATCTCTGTGATTGTTGTATTTCTAAAAAATAAAATAAGCCTTTATTTAGATTTATCATAAGTCTTAAAGGTTACTTGGCTTACCACTGACTTCCAGTCTTCTCTTGGATTCATTTTTCATTTTGCTGGAGCATGTCTTCTAGCTATTATTTCAGCTAGGGTTTGTAGGTGATAAATTTTCTGAATCCATTCATGTATGAAAATGTCTCATGTTTGAAAATGTCATTACACTTGTTTGATTGTCAGATTATAGAATTCTAAGTTCAAAATCATTTTCACCTCAGTATTTTAGAAAATATTTCTCTAGTGTCTTCTTATACTCAGTGTGGCTAAAGAATCTGAAGTCAAGAGGGTGCTTTTTGTTTGTAAATAACATGTTTTTCTCTTTAGAAGCTTTTAGGATTTTCTCATTATCCATAAAGTACTCACATTTTACCACTATTTTCTATGAGCGGGTCTTTTCCCAGTGTTCTTGCTTGGCACAAAGTGGGCCTTAATGTGAAAATTTGAGTCTTTTTTCATATCTAGGGAATTTTATTTGATTTATTTTTCCTCTGAGTTTTATTTTCTCTTTCTGGAAATCCTATTGTATGGATATTGTAACGTTTGTATGTATCCTCCAAGTGCCTTAACCTTTATTTCATATGTATCACCTCCCTGTCTGTTTGTATTATGATGTGAGGGAATTTCTCAGTTTGATCTTGAGCACCCAGGTTGCTCTTCAGCTATGACAATTTTGCTATTCAGCCTTAAGGTTTTCACTTTTGCTATCAGATATTTCATTTCTAAAATATCTTTTTTCTTTCATTAAAACCTGTTCTTGTTTCATGGATTAAGTAACCTCTCTAAATACATATTATGGTATTTTATGTTTAAAAGTCTTCAAATGTTTGCTTTTTAAAAAATATGGAATGCTTCACAAATTTGTGAGTCACCCTTGTGCAAGGGCCATGCCAATATTCTCTGAATTGTTCAAACTGTAGAATATGTAAGCACTGCTGAGTCCTAATGTCCTCGTGTTAGGCTTGGATTTTCCGTTAGCCTGTCTGTGAATGCTATAACGAATTATCTCAGCTTTCTACCAGTGACTTTGTGGGTATTGCAGAGTGTGCTATCAGAATGTAACAAGAGCTAGTCTTCTAGGAATAGAGACTCCATGAATATCACTAGCCATTTGCAGTAGCATCCTATGTCTCTGGCACAAATGCCGACCACAAATGCTCCCACCTAATGGCGATTTGTCTCTTTTTGCACTTATTTTTGACTATCTACTGCACACTTTATTAGAGTGGATTCTTTGAGGCCTATGATGAAGTTGTCTTTCCATGGAGAAAACATGAATTTACTTTTGCCAGGTTCCTGATGTTTAACCTAGGTGCCTAGATCTAACCTTAGATCTAGTTCTAGGGTTGGGGTGCCTGGGAATCCCTAAGCAATGTAAACCCAAGCTGTGAGGGCTGGCACATGACCACACAATTTCTCAGAGATATATATTTTTCTTTTTCTTTTTCTCTTTGCTCTGCTAAAAGTTAAGTCCTGCTGATCCCTGGACTTGGGAAGGGGTAGTGTGCCCTTATTTTAAGAGTATAGCATTTTCCGTTGAAAAGGTCTCTTATTATACTTCTCACCTTGGACGGGTCTAGAGTATTGGATTCTATCTTCTTTGTGTGGCCATTAAAACTAATGTCTACACTTGTCTAGCACAGGGGCAAAAGCTGCTTTGATGTTCAGGTGCAGGGCTGGGGCCAGGATGGGGCAAGTCCTGGCTCTGCTCAGGGGCACTTGTGCTTACTTCTCTAGATTCTAGATTTTCCCTAGATTTTTTGTCTGGTACTTCACTGTCTTCTCAACTCTCTGATGCATTTAAGAAGTTTGTATTTTACATGTATCATTTTATTTCAGTGGGAGGGTTGGTCCAACAACCTAGTAATCTAGCCTTTCCTAAGTCTTGCCCTTTCCTCTGTATATGGTGGTAGTGGCGGTTGAGAGGGGAGTAGGGGTCAGAACTGCTAGGCTGCTCCTACTGCTTTTTATTTTTTTTCCTTTTCTCTCTCTCTCTCTTTTTTTTTTTTTTTTTTTTTGAGACAGAGTCTTACTCTGTCCCCCAGGCTGGAGTGCAGTGGCATGATCCTGGCTTACTGCAACCTCCGCCTCCTGTGTTCAAGAGATTCTCGTGCCTCAGCCTCCCAAGTAGCTGATATTACAGGTACCCACCACCATGCCTGACTAATTTTTGTATTTTTAGTAGAGACGGGGTCTCACCATGTTGGCCAGGCTCCCGACCTCAGGTGATCTATCCGCCTCAGCCTCCTGAAGTGCTGGGATTACCGGCATGAGCCACTGCACCAGGGCTCCTTCCTTTTTTTCCCTGAACCTACTTGTACATCTTTCCTAGAAGTATTCTCTTTTGCACATTTTGGGCAAAAGTTTTCTCTTTGAATTCAATTCCACCGATTATTTTGTCTCTTGGGAATTCCTGATGATTTCAAAGACACTCCTGCTTGTTTCCAGAGTTAATGTTTTCTTGTTTTTTTCTCCCTAAATCTCTCAATCATGGAAGCTGCAGGGTGTAAATCATTTTATCCAATCTCAGAATATTCTCTTCAATCCCAGCATTATAATCTTGGTTCCAAGTCTGTGGGGACAGGCTTAAAGAAGTCATAAGAACCAGGTTTTTTTTACTACATTTTATGGGCTGATAAATGATATAAATAAGACTAGATGACTATAGTAAATAAATGGAAGAATCCAGTAAAATTAGAAAATCTATAAAAAACTGATTGTCACTATTAGAGTTTATATAATAATCATACTGCCAAAACAACTGGTTGAAAAGCAAATAGCTCAATCAATCACCTGGCTGTTTGTTCTATATGAAAGCAAACATATGTATATTACATTTAAAAATATTTGGATGATTGATTGAATTTTTAATTTTTCATCTGGCTGTTTAATAGTATGCACAAACAGCCTGAGGCAAGTAAATATGATTGTGAGGAAAATACGCAGCACAGTCCTTTGGAGAATTCAAACTTAAAATAACAGAGGTAATACAGAGTAAACGCCTTTGATTCCCACCACAGAATTCAGGTCCTACTAAACTCTGTTCTTCAGAATTTTAAATATCTATAAATTTAGAATAATAAAAACATTTGAATGACCTACTCCACAGGTTTTGGGAATGTATTTTACAAAGTATAGCATTACATGTATGTTAACTACTATTTAATTTTATAAGTGCTTCTGAGCATCTACTAAATGCCAAGTTCTACAATGAGCTAAAGGAGATCTAAAAGGCAAGTACAACACAATCTCTGTAATCACGTAGTTAGCAATCTGCTAAGGGAGTTAAAAACTAACTTAGTTATGAGACTTTGATGCATAGGACAATAAAGGCACAATGTGCTATTAGGAAGGGGTTGGGAAACTTTTGTTTTGTTTTGTTTTTTGTTTATAGAGACAGGGTCTTACTATGTTGTCCGGGCTAGTCTTGAACTCCTGAGCTCAAGAGATCCTCTTGCTTCACCCTCCCAAAGTCCCAAAGTGCTGGGATTACAAGCATGAGCCACCAAGGTTTTTTGTTTGTTTGTTTGTTTGTTTGTTTTGAGACAGAGTCTCGCTCTGTTGCCAGGCTGGAATGCAGTGGTGCCATCTCTGCTCACTGCAACCTTTGCCTCCCAGGTTCAAGCGATTCTCCTGCCTCAGCCTCCCGAATAGCTGGGATTACAGGTGCATGCCACCACACCCAGCTAATTTTGGTATTTTTAGTAGAGACAGGGTTTCTCCATGTTGGCCAGGCTGGTCTCGATCTCCTGACCTCGTGATCCACCGGCCTCGGCCTCCCAAAGTGCTGGGATTACAGGGATAAGCCACAGCACCCGGACTGTTTTTTTTTGTTGTTGTTGTTGTTTGTCTGTTTTTTTAAAGAGGAAGTAGAACTTAAGATAGACCTTAAAAGATGAACAACATACTATACTTTAGATTTATGGCGGTGATGGGGAAGAAGATCGGATGACAGCCCACTCCTGTTGACAGATCGTCTGAAGAACAGATTGAGAAAGACATGGAGGTGGGAGAGTTAGCTAGGTATACTGAGTAGCTAATAGTTTGAATTGGTTGAAATAAAATACGTGTGTAGCTAAGACAAAATAGAAAGGAAGCTAGGATCTAATCACATAGGATTTTGACTACTGGACAAGACATTAGACCTTTATTCTATATAAAGTGGATGTCTCAGCAGGAGAACATAATGAGGATAGATTTGGAGTTGAGGAATATTATTTCTGGCAGTAATGTATGTGGATAAGAGAAAAGCAAGTTAGAAGTGCATTAGTGTAGTTAAAAGATACTAAAATGAGATTTTAAATTGAGACAGTGAAAATGCATAGATGGGAAAACCCCTGAGGACGTAGAATTGACAAGATTTGGTAAAAGAATAAGGGAATGAATAAATATAAACGATTAGGAGATTCTGGTTCTAGATTTAGCTTTGCAAGATGACCCGGGAGAAGCAATTTCACCATGGTGGGCCTCAGTCTTATCTGTAAAAACACTGAATTAAATGATACTTAGGGGAATTAGAACTGTATAATCATGCAATTTGGAGTACTTGAGAACAAGGTGAGCAGGGAAGGATAGTTGATGCCATTAACAAGAGAAAAAACACAGGAGGAAGTAACCTTGAAAACAAATGTTGATTTAAGGAATCTGCATACATTGTTCATGATCATCATGTAGCTGGATATGCTGGTCTAGAGATTAGAAGGAGGGTATGAGATATAGACACACATGTAAACAAAGTTGTGGGGCTTGGGTGAGAGCACAAGAAGCATAGAATATGAAGAGCAAGAAAGCCAAGCACCGAACCTTGGGCACAGCATTTAAAAGGTGAATTGAGAAAGACAAGCCCATGAAAGAGCCTGAGATGGCTATACAGAGGAAGAGGGAAAAAGAAGATGGTGAGTAATGTCACATGGTGCACAGAAGTTAGCAGAAAGAACAGCAAGAGGCCGCTGGATTGGTAATCAATGAGCTGTTGGCGTTCTTTGAGAAAGCAGTTTCAATTGATGGGGGGATAGATCTTGGGATCCATTAGGAGCAGGTAGAAGGCTAACACTGGCAAACAGAATTCTTGGGATATACATAAAATGGGAGAGACTTATGAACCCTTATGTGCAAAAAAAAGTGGAGTGGAATTGGGAAGAGTGATTCCTGTCAGACAAAAAGAACTCAATGAAGCTGAGATAAAGCTGATGCATGAGTATTTATGTGTTCTGCAAGGGGGTCTGTTCCCCTAGCTCTCCCCAGGCCGAAGACTGTCCTCTCTCCAATAAGTGCTACCCTACTGAATAGATCCAAAAAGTAGTAGTAATTGTTTGATACAGAAACCTTTTAGATCTGTATACTAAAAATTATAAAAATTTGATGAAAAAAATTCAAGGAGGCATAAATAAATAAAAAGATATATTCATGGATTGGAAAAATTAATATTGTAAAAATGTCCACATTACTCAAAGCAATCTACAGATTCAATACAATCTCTATCAATATCCCAACATCATTTTTCACAAAAATAGAAAAAAAACAGCCATTAATTTTGTGTGGAACTACCAAAGACCCCAAATAGCCAAAACAATCTTGAGCAAAAAGAACAAAGCTAGAGACATCACACTACTTGACTTCAAAATATATTACAAATCTATAATACTCAAAACAGCATGATACGGGACTAAAAACAGACACACTGACCAACGGAACAGGATAGAGAGCTCAGAAGTAAACTTACGTATTTACAGTCAATTGATTTTCAACAAAGGTGCCAAGAACACATGATGAGGAAAGGACACTGTCTTCAACAAATGGTGTTGGGAAAAATGTATATCCACTGCAGAAGAATGAAATTGGACCCTTATCACACAAGGCATACAAAAATCAACTCAAAATGTATTAAAAACCTAAACACAATAGAATAGCTCTATTATCAAAAAGACAAAAATTAACAAATGCTGGCAAGGATGTGGAGAAAAGGGAACATTTAAACACTGTTAGTGGAAAGTAAATTGGTACAGCCATTATGGAAAGCAGTATAGAGGTTTCTCAAAAAACTAAAAATAGAATTACCATATGATCCATCAATCCTACTACTATTTATCCAAAGAAAAGGAAATCAGTATACTGAAGAGACACCTGTGCCTCCATATCTATTGCAGCACTATTCACAATAACCAAGATATGAAGTCAACTTAAATATTCATCAACAGATAAACGAAAATATAAAAATATAAAATAAGTATACAAATAAAAAATAAAATAAAAATATACACAATGAAATATTATTCAGCCATGAAAAAGAATGAAATCACCAGGTGCGGTGGCTCACGCCTGTAATCCCAACACTTTGGGAGAGGCCAAGGCGAGTGGAACACTTGAGGTCCGGAGTTTGAGACCAGCCTGCCCAACATGGCAAAACCCCGCCTCTACTAAGAATACAAAAATTAGCCAGGCATGATCGTGCACGCCTGTAATTTCCGGTCACTTGGGAGGCTGAGGCACAAGAATCGCTTGAAACCAGAAGGTGGAGGTTGCAATGAGCTGCGATCATGCAACTGCACTCTAGACTGGGCAACAGAGTGAGACTCGTCTCAAAAAGAAAAAAGAGAAAAGAAAAAAAGAATGTAATCGTCATTTTTGCAACATGGATGAGCCCAGAGGACATAATGTTAAGTGAAATGTCAGGCACAGAAAGACAAACGCTGCATTTTCTCACTCATATGTGGAAGCTGAAAGAATTGAGCTCATATAAGTGACAGAGTAGAATTGTGGTTATTAGATAATAGGAAGGATGGGAAGAGAGGAGGATAGGGAGAAGTTGGTTAATTGATACAAAAATACAGCTAGATAAGAGAAATAAATTCTAGTGTTCTATGGTACTATAGGATAAATATGGTTAACAACTTATTGCATATTTCGGAAAAGCTAGAAGAGAAGATTTTGAATGTTTACAACACAAAGAAATAATAAATGAGGTGCTATGCTAATAACTGATTTGATCATTACACATTATATATATGTACTGAAGTATCACTCTGCATCGTTGATGAAATTGATGCATGATTATGTATCAACGAAAAACAAAAGAAAAAATATTCAGAAGACATACATTCAAGGCTGACAAAAATATAACTTTATTTTCCTGAAACTGGCACTTAATCTCTGTGTTGGGCTACATATTGGCACAATGGAAGAAAATTTAATCTAGTTACTTACAAATAAACCCAGTCACTTTGTCATTTCAAAAAAATAAAAAAGATTTAAGCATAAGACCAGAAACTCTAAAAGTACTAAAAGAAAATATAGAGGAAAAGCTTCATAGTATTAGCCTGGGTAGTGATTTCTTAAATATAACCCCAAAAAGCATAAGCAACAAAATGAAAACAGACAAACAGAATTTACATCAAACTAAAAATCTGTACAGCAAAGAAAACAATTAATAAATTGAACAGACAACCCATGAATTGGGAGAAAATATTTGCAAACCATACATTTGATAAAGGACTAGTATCTAAAATATATAAGAAACTCAACTAAATAGGAAGAAAACAAACAACTTGATTAAAAAATGGGCAAAAACCCTGAATAGACATTTCTTGAAAGAAGACATACAAATGGCCAACAGATATATGAGAAAATGTTCAATATCACTAATCATCAGGAAAATGCAAATTAAAATCACAACGAGATATTGCCTCACACTTGTTAGAAAAAAGATGAAAGATGAGAAGTGTTGGTGAGGATGTGGAGAAAAGGGAAATCTTTTTTGAGACAGAGTCTTGCTTTGTTGCCCAGGCTGGAGTGCAGTGGCGTGATCTCAGCCCACTGCAACCTCTGCCTCCTGGGTTCAAGCTATTCTCCTGCCTCAGGCTCCCAAGTAGCTGGGATTACAGGCATGTGCCTGGCTAATTTTTTTATTTTTAGTAGAGATAGGGTTTCACCATGTTGGCCAGGCTGGTCTCAAACTCCTCACCTCAGGTGATCCACCTGCCTCGGCCTCCCAGAGTGCTGGGATTACAGGTGTGAGACACCACACCTGGCCAGAGAAAAGGGAAATCTTATACACTGTGAGTGGGAATATAAATTGGTACAGCCATTATGTCAAACAACATAGATAGAGATTCTTCAAAGAAAAGAATTGGCATATGATCCAGCAATCCCCCCTCTAGGTATATATCCAAAGGACTCGAAATCAGTATGTCGAAAAGATGTCTGCGCTCCCATATTCATTACAGCATGATTTACAATAGTCAGGATATGGAAACAACCTAAGTGTCCATCAATGGATGAATGGATGAAGAAAATGTTGTATATATATACAATGAAATATTATTCAGCCTTAGAAAAAAGGAAATCATGCTATTTGCAACAACATGGATGAGCCTGGAGTACATTATACTAAATGAAATAAGCCAGGAAGTGAGAAAGAAATACTTCCTGATCTCACTTATATGTGGAATCTAAAGAGTTGAAACTCATAAAAATAGAGAGTAGAGGCTGGGCCCGGTGGCTTACGCCTGTAATCCCAGCACTTTGAGAGGCCAAGGCGGGTGGATCACCTGAGGTCAGAAGTTTGAGAGCAGCCTTGCCAACATGGTGAAACCCCGTCTCTACTAAAAATACAAAATTAGCGGGGCATGGTGGTGTGCACCTATAGTCCCAGCTACTTGGGAGGCTGAGACAGGAGAATCACTTGAACTCGGGAGGTGGAGGTTGCAGTGAGCCGAGATCGTGCCATTGCACTCCAGCCTGGGCAACGAGAGCAAAACTCCACAACCCCCCTAAAAAAAAGAAAGAAAGAAATAGAGAATAGAATGGTGGTTATCAGAGGCTGGGGAGGGGGGTGTGGGGAATGGGGAGAGGTTGGTCAAAGAGTACAGTTTCAATTAGATGGTAACAATAAGTTTTAGATGTTGCACAGCATGGTGACTATAGTTAATAACGTATTCTGTATTTCAAAATTACTAAAATAGTAGATTTCAAATGTTCTCACCACAAAAAATGGTACTTATATGAAGGGATGGATATGTTAATTAGTCTGACTTAATCATTGCCCAACATATACATATATCAAAACATCACATTGTGCCCCATAACTATGCAATTAATATTTGTCAGTGAAAAAAATACAAAATCAGAAACCATTCAGACAAGTCTAAGATATGAAGATGTGAAAAAGCCTTATAACTTTCAGGAAACTCACAAAAGAGAAATGTGCTTTTTTACTGATCCCTCACATAACACAGTTATCAAACTTCTCTCTTGCAGTCATCAGTCCTGTCATAACACCTGGTCTCTCCTGCTTCTTTTCAGGGAGAGATGCTCCAGATACTTGCAGTTTGTCTTTTCCCTGGTTACAGGTACAACATGAAAGAATTTAATGAAAGCAAAGGTAATTTAGAAATTCTCAATTCCATAGGTTATTCAAAATAGCACTGGTAGAAGCAAGAACATTTCTGAAGCAGCAGGATATTTCCTGCTTCTACTGCTTAGGCTGCAGCTCCTCTGCAACATGTCCAGGGCTTGGTCTTTATGTGGCCTCCTTCTGGACCACACAGGGACCTAGACATGACTGTGAGGCAACTGCTTTCTGGACTCTGGTTACTGTGAGATTGATGAGCTATGTGCCCTTTTCAACTGGGATAGAGAGCTGCTGGATAGGTGAGTGTCTGAGAGAGTTGCTATTAACTTTTTGTTGTTTTGCTTTGCCTTTCTAATCACAGAAGTGTATGATAGGAGTTACTACTAGAAAGAAATAGATGGGGCCAGCCATGGTGGCTCATGCCTGTAATCCCAGCATTTTGGGAGGCTGACGCAGGAGGATCGTTTGAGCTCAGGAGT
Organism: Homo sapiens; assembly: GCF_000001405.40. Taxonomy (NCBI): domain Eukaryota; kingdom Metazoa; phylum Chordata; class Mammalia; order Primates; family Hominidae; genus Homo; species Homo sapiens. The sequence continues at coordinate 195,916 of NW_025791811.1, forward strand.
TCAAGACCAGACTGAGCAACACAGCGAGATCCTCTCTCTCCAAAAAATACAAAAATTAGCCTGGCATGGTGGTGCATGCCTGAGGTCCCAGCTAGTTGGAAGGTGGAGGTGTGAGGAATGCTTGAGCCTGGGAAGTCGAGCCTATAGTGAGTTGTGATCGTGCCACTGCACTCCAGCCCAGGAGACAGAATGAGACTCTGCCAAAAAAAAAAAAAAAAAAAAGTATATTCCGAGACAGTAGCAAGTTCTATCATTGTAAACAAAAAATTAAAAAAAAGAAAAAAGAAAAAATTGTTTCTAAGAGAGATGTAAATAAATAAATAAGAAAGAGAAGAAATAGATGGGAGACAGGACCCTGGATGATCTAGAGCCAGAACTCCTGGCAATGCCTTTTCTCTGCCTCAGTGATATATTTTACACTACCTTAAAGCAGCAGCAGGCCAGGCACGGTGGCTCACACCTTAATCCCAGCACTTTGGGAGGCCAAGGCGGGTGGATTACAAGGTCAGGAGACTGAGACCATCCTGGCCAACATAGTGAAACCCCGTCTCTACTAAAAATACAAAAATTAGCTGGGCGTGGTGGTGAGCACCTGTAGTCCCAGCTACTCGGGAGGCTGAGGCAGAAGAATTGCTTGAACCCAGGAGGCGGAGGTTGCAGTGAGCTGAGTTCACGCCACTGCACTCCAGTCTGGGCAACAGAGCAAGACTCCATCTCAAAAAAAAAAAAAAAAAAAAAAAAAGCAGCAGCCAAGTTGATAGAGTGAAGAGAGAAAAAAACACATGATTAGTTTAACATGATTAGTTTTCCTTCCATTTTTCTAAGCCATATACTTTGGGATGGACTGTTCATTCCTTCCATCATTTTCCATCACTATTTCACTCTGAGGATTTACCAAAAGGGAAATAACTCAGTAACTTTTTAAGAATTTCCCTAGGCGAACGTAGAGTCAGGGACAATTGAATAGTTATGTCCCCCTCAATAATTTTATATAGGCAAAATCAAAATACAATGAGTATCAAGTGAAAAAATGAATAAAAAGGCAACATGCAAGCTTGCAAGGTGTATCTGAATGAAAAAGGGCAGACCTGTCTGTTTTGCCTTGAGAAATAGGGTAGAGGGGCAGAGAGAGGGAAAAAAAGTGAGGTTAAGGGCTAATTTTACCTATGAATCTTAGGTCTTTTAGCACTAGCTTTTGTTTTTTGTTTTGTTTTTGTTTTTGTTTTTTTTTGAGACAGAGTTTCGCTCTTGTTGCCCAGGCTGGAGTGCAATGGCACGATCTCAACTCACTGCAACCCTCTGCCTCCCAAGTTCAAGCGATTCTCCCGCCTCAGCCTCTGGAGTAGCTGGGATTACAGGCATGCACCACCACGCCCAGCTAATTTTGTATTTTTAGTAGAGACGGGGTTTCTCCATGTTGGTCAGGCTGGTCTCAAACTCCCGACCTCACGTGATCTGCCCGCCTGGACCTCCCAAAGTGCTGGGATTGTAGGTATGAACCACTGTGGCCCGCCAGCACTAGCTTTTAAAAAATAACTGTTTTCTCTTCCACTAACTCCTTCCCTGGTTCTCTATACACCCACAATTAATGAACGATCTATTGATAGCTAGAGTCTGATCCTGAACACTGCCACAATCCAGGAAGAACTCTATAATCATTATGTCTCTACTTTCTCTCTTCATGTTCACTTTTACCAATTGAAATCAGATTCCTTTTTTTTTTTTTTGAGTTGAAGTCTCTGTCACCCAGGCTTGAGTGCAGTGGCGTGATCTAAGCTCACTGCAACCTCTGCCTCCTGGGTTCATGTGATTCTCCTGCCTCAGCCTCCTGAGTAGCTGAGATTACAGGCACATGCCACCACGCCTGGCTAATTTTTGTATATTTAGTAGACATGGGGTTTCACCATGTTGGCCAGGCTTGTCTCGAACTCCTGACCTCAGGTGATCTGCCCGCCTTGGCCTCCCAAAGTGCTGGGATTTCAGGTGTGAGCCACCGCACTCAGCCTTGAAATCAGGTTTCTGTTCATGCTTCTCCACTGAAACTGTCCTGGAAACATAAAAATTCTCAAGCTATTGAATTTCATGGTCACTTGCTGACTCATTCCCCATTCTCTGTGGCATTTGGCATTGTTGGCAATTTCTATGTTCTTAGTACTCTCTCACCTTGGACTTCCGTGATAATCTCTTTAGCCTTGATATCCATCAACTCTTCTCAGTTCCCACTGCTGTTGCTATAGTTTAAGTCTTCATTGTTTCTTGTTTGGACCATTCAATAATGTCCTACTAGTTACACTGTCACCAGAGTTATACAGTGACATCCAATCCTCTACTGCCAAAGTCTCTCTCTTTCTTTCTCTCTCTCTTCCTCCCTCCCTTCCCCTCCCCTCCCATCACCCTCCTCTCCTCTTCTTTCCTTTTTTCTTTCTTTTTTGCTAAAGGGCATTAAATATTTGCTTTTTTTGCTATTAAATATTTTTTGCTTTTAAATTTTTTTTGCTTTTTTCATTTTTAATTAACATATAATAATTGTACATATACGGAGCACAGTGTGATATTTTGATACATATATACAATGTGTAGTGAACAAATCAGGGTAATTAGCATGTTTCTCACTTCAAAAGTTTATCACTTCTTTGTGTTTGGAACATTCAAAATCTGCTCTTCTAGCTATTTGAAAATATACAATAAATTGTTGTTAAATATAGTCACCCTATAGTGCTATAGAACCCTAGAACTTATTCCTCCTATTTAGCTATACTGTTGTATCAGTTTAACCAACCGTTGGATATCCCCTCTCCCCCAACCCTCACATCTAGTAGCTACTATTCTACTCTCAAAGTCATTTTTCTAAGGCATAATTCTATTCATGTTCTTCAAGGAGTAAACCTGAAATGACTACCCATTGCTCCCAGGATAAAGCCCAAACTTCATAGCCTGTCATACAAAGTCCCTGCCTACCACTCCAGCCTCATAAGTTGCTTCTTACATACTACACCACAGCAAACTGATACACTTATGTATAGACAATGCTCTTTCATTCCTCTGTGTCTTTGGTCCTTTTTTCTGGCCTGAAATGTTCTTGTTCTCCCTTGCCTGCTTGGTGAACACTCACTAATCTTTCAAGATTCTGTCTATGCCATTTCCTTTGTGAAGCCTTTCTGACTACTCCACACACCATTAGAATTGACCTCTCCCTCATTCTGTGCCCTACAGTACCCTGTAAATGCTTCTGTTTTATTACCTACAACACTTTATAATTTATTCATTCAATATTTTGGTTTTCCTCTTCGAGACTCTAAGCTGCTCAAGGATATGGACTGTTCTTAGGTATTCTTATATCCCCAATACTCCTGGTGTATAACTTTCATTAAAGATTTATTTTCTCCCTCTACAATTCAATGGCCTTTAGGATATTCACAAATTTATGCAAACATCCCACAATCACAGAACATTTTTCATTACCCCAAAAAGAAATCCTGTACCCCTTAGTCATCATTCCCCAATTGCCCCATACCTCCCAGGCCTAGGTAACCAGTAACCGACTTTCAGTCTCTGTGCATTTGCTTATTATGGACATTTCATACCTAGGAAGTCACATGATATGTGGCCATTTGTGTCTACCTTCTTTTGCTTAGCATGTATTCAAGGTTATCCATATCATACTTCGTTTGTTGTTTTTGCTGAGTATTCCATTGTATGGATATACCACGTTTTGTTGATCTGTTCATCAGTTGCTGGACATTTGGGCTAGTTCCACTTTTTGTCTATTATGAATAATGCTACTATTTATGTGTAAGTTTTTGTATGGAAATGTTTTCAATTCTCTTGGATATATACCTAGCAATGGAACTATTAGATCATATAGTAACTTTATGTTTAACCTTTTGAGGAATTGCCAGACTGTTTACCAAAGCATTGCAACATTTTAAAAAAAATTGAGGTGAAATCCATATAACATAAAATTACCCGTTTTAAAGTGTGCAATTAAGTGACATTTAGTGCATTCCCAGTGTTGTACAGCCATTACCTTTCTACAGTTTCAAAACTTCATCATCCCGGAAGTACACTCTGTACCCATTAAGCAGTCACTCCCCATTCTCCCCTCTGCCATTCCCTAATCCAGTAATCTGCTTTCCATCTCTATGAATTTGCCTATTTCAGATATTTCATAAAATAAGAACCATATAATAGGCAACCTTTTGTCTCGCTTTTTTCATGTAGCACAATTGTTTTTGAGGTTTATCCAAGTTGTAACACCTATGAGCACTTCATTTTTTTATGGCTGAGTAATATTCCATTGTATGTATATTCCAATGTATATACCACAATTTGTTTATTTACTCATTTGTTGGTCAATATTTGGGTTGTTTCCACCTTTAAGCTCTAATGAATAATGCTTCTATAAATATTTGTGTACAAATTTCTGTGTGAATATTATGTTTTCATTTCTCTTGGTTATATACCTAGTAATGAAATTAATAGGTCACATTGTATAGGTTGGTGCAAAAGTAATTGTGGTTTTCTCCATTACTTTTTATTTTTTTGAGACAGAGTCTTGCTCTGTCACCCAGGCTGGAGCGCAGTGGCGCGATCTCGACTCACTGCAAGCTCCGCCTCCCGGGTTCAAGCCATTCTTCTGCCTCAGCCTCCCGAGTAGCTGGGACTACAGGTGCCCGCCACAAGTCCAGCTAATTTTTTGTATTTTTAGTAGAAACGGGGTTTCACCTTGTTAGCCAGGATGGTCTCCATCTCTTGACCTCGTGATCTGCCCACCTCAGCCCCCCAAAGTGCTGGGATTACAGGCGTGAGCCACCGCGCCCGGCCTCTCCATTACTTTTAATGCCAACACCGCAATTATTTTTGCACCAACCTAATAAATCTATATTTCACGTTTTAAGGAACTGCCACACTGTTTTCCACAGTGACTATACCATTTTATATTCCAACCAGCAATGTGTGAAGGTTCTTGTTTCTCCACATCCTTCCAAAATTTGTTAATTTACTGTTTTTTTTTTTTTTTTTTTTGTTGTTGTTGTTGTTTTGTTTGGTTTCTTTTTGAGACAGAGTCTTGTTCTGTTGCCCAGGCTGGAGTGCAGTGGTGCGATCTCGGCTCACTGTAACCTCTGCCTCCGGGGTTCAAGCGATTCTCCTGCCTCAGCCTCCTGAGTAGCTGGGACTACAGATGTGAGCCACTATACCCAGCTAATTTTTGTATTTTTAGTAGAGACAGGGTTTCACCATGTTGGTTGGCCAGGATGGTCTGGATCTCTTGACCTCGTGATCCACCTGCCTCAGCCTCCCAAAGTGCTGGGATTACAGGTGTGAGCCACTGCGCCCGGCCGATAATTTCCTGTTTTTTGATTATAACCATCCTAGTGGGTGTGATGTGATAACTCATTGTGCTTTTTGCTTTTATTTCCCTAATGACCAATGATGTTGAATATCTTTCATGTGCTTGGTCATTTGTTCATCTTCTTTGGGAAAATTTCTATCCAATTTCTTTGCCCATTTTTAAATTGGGTTGTCATTTTGTTGATGAGTTGTAAGGTTCTTTGTATACTCTGAATACTGAATTCTCATCAGATATATGAGTCACAAAAATTTTCTCTCATTCTGTGGGTTGTCGTTTCAGTTTCTTGAAGATATCCTCCAAAACAGAAGAGTTTTTAGTTTTGATATCCAGTTTGGTTTTTCCTTTTTTGCTTGTGCTTTTGGTGGCATATCTAGGAAATCACTGCTTAATCCAAAGTTAGGAAGATTTATGCCTATGTTTTCTTCTAAGAGTTTTAAATCTTTAGCTATATGTGTAGGTCTCTGATCCATTTTGAATTAATTTGTGTATATGAGGTATGAGGTGGGGGTACAAATTCATTCTTATGAATTTTTATTTATTTTTGGTTTAATTTTAAAGAGATGAGGTAGGTTCTCGCTATGTTGACCAGGCTGGTCTTAAAGTCCTGGCCTTAAGTGATCCTTCTGCCTAGGCCTCCCAAAGCGCTGGGATTACAGATACGAACCATTGTGCCTAGCCTTTAAAAACTGTTTTATTTATTTTTTTCAAATTCATTTTTTTCATGTGGTTATCCAGTTGTCCCAGCACCATTTGTTGGAGAGATTATCTCCTCCTGCACCTCCCACACTGAGTTTTCATGGCATCTTTGCCAAAAATCAGTTGATGATAAGTGTGATAGTTTACTTGTAAAACTCTCAATTCCATTCCAGTAACCTATATGTCTATCTTCACATCAGGACCATACTGTCTTGATTACTGTAGCTTTGTAGTAAGTTTTGAAATTGGGAAGTGTGAGTCCTCCAACTCCATTCTTCTTTTTCAGGAACATTTTTTTCCATATGAATTTTAAGACCAGTTTGCCAATTTTTGAAAAGAAGTCAGCTGGGATTTTGATAAAGATTGTGTTGAAGCCCAGATGCGGTGTGATTCATTCCTGTAATCCCAGCACTTTGGCAGGCTTAGGCGGGTGAATCACCTGAGGTCAGGAGTTAAAGACCAGCCTGGCCAACATGATAAAACCCCGTCTCTACTAAAAATACAAAAAATTAGCCAGGCGTGGTGGCAGACGACTGTAATTCAGTTACTTGGGAGGCTGAGGCAGGAGAACGGCTTGAACCCAGGCAGCGGAGGTTGCAGTGAGCCGAGATCACGTCATTGCACTCCAGCCTGGGCAACAAGAGCGAAACTCCATCTCAAAATAAATAAATAAACAAATAAATAAAGATTGTGTTGAATATGTAGATCAATTTGGAGAGTATTGCCATCTTACCAATATTAAGTTCTCCAATTCATGAACATGGGAAGTCTTTTCATGTAGTGAAGTCTTCTTTAACTTCTTTAAACAATTTTTGTGGTCATCAGAATATGAGTTTCACACTTTTTTTGTAAAATTTATTCTTAAGTAGTTCATTTTTGATACTATTATAAAGTTTCTTTCATAATTTCATTTTTGGTTTGCTCACTGCTACTGTATAGAAATAGAACTTTTTTTTTGTATTTATCCTGCATTTGTTATGGAGCTCATTTATTAGTTCTAATAGTTTCGTAGTTGATTCCATACGATTTTCTGTATACAAGATCATGTCTTCTGTGAATACAGATCATTTTACTTCTTTCTTTCCAAGCTTGATATCTTCTACTTTTGTTTCTTGTGTAATTGCCATAGCTAGAACTTCCAGTACAATGTTGAACAGAAATGGCAAAAGTGGACATCCTTGTCTTATTCCTGATGTTAGGGATGAAGCAGTCAGTCTTTCACCATTAAATATAGTAGCTTTGGGTTTTCAATATCTTCTATCAGGTTGATAAAGTTTCCTTCCATTCTTAGTTTGTCACACATTTTTATCACAAAGCCTGTTGAATTTTGTCAAATGCTTTTACTAGATTAGAATGATCATGTGATCTTTGTCTTTTATTCTGTTGATGTGATTGTTACATTGATTTATGGGTGGTAAACCAATCTTACATTTCTGGGTAAAATCCAAATATTTCTTTTTTTTTCCTTTTCTCTGACAGGGAATTGAACCTGGGCTGTGGCAGTGAGAGTGCTGAATTCTAACCACTAGACAAGCAGGGACCAAATACATATTTCTTAAATTGAATTTATCATGAGCACATTATATGAGGATTGGGTAAAAAGTAACTAAAAAAATGGCCAAAGAAACAAGATGGAAAATAACTTCCATTTTCAGATAGTAACTATTTAGGAAACATTGAAACTTTGGAAGTGAAATTGTTATTGTGTAAATATTTTAAAAAAGCATGTTTATACATCTTTCACACTCTTTGAGTCTTATATTTTTCCTTTAAAGTCTTGGAACTAGACCTTTATGATATTCTAAATTTAATAACACTTAACAACTTGCCCTAAATATCCCTACTTTATAACAATTACTGTAGTGGTTTCCTCATAGATTTGTTTTTTCCCCATCCCCCACACCCTTCCCAAGTACACACCCTTCCCAAGTATTATCCCAAGTGAGACTATCATTATCATCTATTATTCTTATTGGACATTTTAAAGTACCTGTACAAAAATGGCATTAGTTAGGGATATAGTAAAGTTACTTCTAGTCTTTTAATTGGCTTCTGCCCTTGGCGCTGTTTGAGCAAAGAGAAGAGACCCTCATAGAGAACTCTAAGGACAAAAAAACTTACTTTTAATTGTGACCCCAAGAATTATCAATATCTCTATTAACAGAGACAAGGGCTTCATCTTCTCTTAAGCAGCTTCTCTTCACTGTAACACAGGCAGAAACTAGGTGATTGGCCCAAGAGCTCCTCTTCTCAGGGACTGTGGTGGGGGCAGGAGTCAGTTGCTAAGCAACCATTTCCTTACTCTTGGGCCAATGGGCTGCCAGAGTGTTCCTTTCAAGCCGGAATGAAGGCAGCTGCTGGAGAATGTAGGCTGTGGAAAGGATCCACTGCTATTCCTCTGGCTGAAGATAAGGGGTAGGCTAGAAATTAGGGGTGGCTCTCTAACATGAAAGGAAGGGACCAGAAGTCCGACTCGTACGTGTCCACACGTTCAACTGTGTTCAGGGGTGCTGGAAGTTCTTATTTTTATGTTGCCTCTAGAGGTACAAACTACACTTATGTAAAAACACAATTAAGGTACATGAACTGATCTGACATCATCCTGTAAGCTGGTATCTCTAGGCTATGGCGGAAAAGAAACAATGGGCCAAGTCTGCTTTGTTCCCAATCTGGATGAAAATCTTTATCCTCTTTTCCAGTTAGAAACTGCTGAGGATTTACTGGAACAAAGGCAAACAAAGACTGTTTAACAATGTCTTTACATACCTCAGATAATACAGACATCTCACAAGTGGTACCTTCAAAGCTACGAGAAATCAAAATGAATATTTAGGGAAAACATATAAATATTAAAAATATCCAAGGCACAGAGCTAGTTGAGAAATTATGCCTACAAAAAATATCCAACTTTTACAGTCTGTCCAGGTCATTACTTTAGAAATAGACATTTTATTGTTTTGAATTTACAGTTTTATTCCTTTTATTAGTTTCCCATTGCTGTGATAACAAATTACCACAAACGTAATGGGTTAAAACAACAGGAATTTATTCTCTCATAGTTCTAGAGACCAGAATTCCAAAACCATTCTTACAGGGCTAAAATCAAAGACAAGGCTAGCTCCTCCTGGAGGCTCCAGGGAAGAATCCATTCTTGGCCTGGAATTTTTCAGCTTCTAAGTGGCTGCCAGCATTCCTTGATTTGTGACCACATCATTTCAGTCTCTGCTCAGTCATCACTTGCCTTCTGTAGTTTAATCTCCCTTTGTGCCCCTCTTATAAAGATACTTGTGATTACATTTAGGGCCCACCAACATGATCCAGAACAATCTCTCTCTCTCTCAAGATCCTTAATGTTGGCTGGGCGTGGCAGCTCACACTTGTAATCCCAGCACTTTGGGAGCCTAAGGCAGTTGGATTACTTGAGGCCAGGAGTTCGAGACCAGGCTGACCACCATGGCGAAACCCCGTGTCTACTAAAAATACAAAAATTAGCTGGACGTGGTGGTATGCGCCTGTAGTTTCAGGTACTCAGGAGGCTGAGGCATGAGAAGTGCTTGAATCCTGGGGCCAGGGGCCTGAGGGGTGGAGGTTGCAGTGAGCAGAGATTGTGCCACTGCAATGCAGCCTGAGCGACAGAGTGAGACTCCATCTCAAAACAACAACAACAAACCCAAACTTCTTTATAGGAAAATCAATGAGCAATGAAGGCATATAAGGGGAAGCGGCAAACAAAGGTCAGGTAGGGTCAGAGTCAGGGAAGGCTTTGCTAGGGAGTGATGTTCAAGCTGAAATATGAAGAACGAGAGTGAGTCAGCTAAACAAATCATGTCCCAGGTGTTGCAATGAACATGTTAAGAGGCTATGTGGGCTGGGTGCCGTGGTTCATGCCTGTAATCCCAGTACTTTGGGAGGCTGAGGCAGGTGGGTCATCTGAGGTCAGGAGTTCAAGACCAGCCTGGCCAACATGGTGAAATCCCGTCTCTACTAAAAATACAAAAATTAGCCGGGCATGGTGGTAGATGCCTGTCATCTCAGCTACTCGGGAGGCTGAGGCAGGAGAATTGCTTGAACCTGGGAGGCAGAGGTTGCAGTGAGCCAAGATCGCGCCATTGCATTCCAGCCTGGGCAACAAGGGTGAAACTCCGTCTCAAAAAAGAAAAAGGCTATATGGTGTTCCAGAACATGAAATGATGCTCTGTGGGCTGGAATCAGAGACTGGGGAATGGGGGTGGTATGGAGCATAGTATAAAATAAGGCTGGGTTAGTAGGTGATAGTCACTCCATTCTTAATAATTTAATTGTTATAAAAAGACTGTATTAGCCTGTATGCAACAAAATAATATAGACTGGGTGACTTTACACAGCAGAAATTAATTTTCTCAGTTCTGATGGCTAGAAATCTGAGACCAGGTTCTGGTGAGGGTCTTCTTCCTGCTTGCAAGATGGCTACCTTCTTGCTGTGTCCTCATATAGCAGGGAAAGGGGGTGGGAGGAGAGGATGAAAGAGATCTCCCTCTTCTTATAAGGCCTCAGTCCTATTAACCTCACTCACCCTTATGACCTCATTTAAACTTAATTACTTCGTAAAGACCTAATCTCCACATTTAGTCACATTGGAGATTAGGGCTTCAACATATGAATTTTGGGTGCACGTAAGTCAGTCCATAGTAAAGACCACCAGAAAGTCATTGAATGACTTACAGAAGTGAGAAGACGTGATCACTTCTGACAAGGTATCACTAGATGCAGTCTAGACAATGGACAGAAGAGGGGCAACAGTGGGCATGAAGGCCACTTAGGAAGTCTTTGCAATAGTCCAGCTAAATTCAGACTAAGTTTACTGCAATGCTGTTGGAAAGTAGTGATTCCAGACTTATACAGACCGCTCAATAAAATTGCGTAGGTATAGCAACCGATTTGATATGAGAGTGAAGTTATAAGAGGTACCAGGGATGGTGCTTAGGTTTCCAGATTTTTCAACTAAACGGGTAATGGAGCCATTCGAAGAGATGGGGAAAACTGGGAGAAGGAGCATGAGTTCAGTTTGGTACACGGCACATTTCAAGTACTTTAGGGATGTTAAATATTTAACAGTTTTGAATGATAATGGTATTTTGTCAGAGTGATTAATACTAAATGCTGGAACAAATGCCCTCTACATACTTTTAATGTGCTTTCACACAATAAAAGTTCCAGTTCTTTGAGCTGACATGAAAGAAAAGATAATCAATAGTGTAATGTTCCTAAGAAAGCACATGTGGAAGGACTGGCTGGAGGCTGGAGTGCAAACAGCTTCTCTGTTGAAGGGAAGGTGTCTAGTATGATGTACTTGTCTTACCTTTCACATTTCTACATAAGAAGTCAATATCTTTTCTACAAAATCTGCAACTGTTCCCATATTGCTTAATATTAGCATTGCTATTTTGCCCCCTTACCCATCCTATGAAATGTTTTTCTTTTCTTCCTCACCTTTCTTTCAAAATCTATTGCATTATCAGGTTTTATTTATTCTTCCCTGGTAATGTCTCTAATCAAAGACCTCTTTCTATTTCTAGTGCCAATAAATAAGTACATATTTTTATTACTAGCTCAAATGTCACTTCCTTCTTGAAGCCTTCTTTATTTATCCCAAATCTATTTTTTTTCGTATTTCACAGCATTAAAAGAAAAACAGGCTGGGCACGGTGGCTCACGCCTGTAATCCCAGCACTTTGGGATCACTTGAGGTCAGGAGGTCAAGACCAGCCTGGCCAACACGGTGAAAACCCATGTTTACTAAAAAAATACAAAATTAGCCAGGCATGGTGGCGCATGCCTGTAATCTCAGCTACTCCAGAGGCTGAGGCAGGAGAATTGCTTGAACCTGGCAGAAAGAGGTTGCAGTGAGCTGAGATGGAGCCATTGCCCTCCAGCTGGGGGACAAGAGTGAAACTCTGCCTCAAAAAAAAAAAAAAAAAAAAAAAAAGACAAAACAAAAATTACCTTACCATGTTGTGAATCATCCTTATGAGAGTGTCCTACTACTAAAAATATTCCATTCTTTACAATTCTTTTTGGGGCCTCCCCCCTTTCTTCCTTTTCTCTTCTATTATTTTTTAAAAATGTGTTCCAAATAATTATTTGCCCAATATATATAACAAGTACCCAAACTGCCAAATAAATGTGGATTTACAACATCCACTCAATTAGCCTTGAAGATGATCTGATATATAGAAACACAACAAATTTGGGGGGAGGGTACCAAACTTCTAAATTATAGGTCACCCTACTCATGTGGCGGACTTTAGTGAAACTGGATTTTCAGAACCCGCCAGGTGAGTATTATCCAGAATCAAGCCAGCTTTTTGGACCTGCGTCTTAACATTAAGCAATTGGTAGAATAAAGTAAGACCACTCGGCTCTGGTTAACAGGCATCTGGATTTGTTTTGACGTAAGACGTGTTTTCAATATAACATTTTGGTTGTCCGCAACTTCTTGGTTCTTAAAACCGTCTTGAGTATCGCAGTCTACATTTGTTCTTTCTAAACTTCACCAAATTCCAATGAAATTTGTAATTTTCACTACAGGTTTGAGGAGCCAACTGCATACGATGTGGAACCATTTGCCAATACTTTCATTTCTTTTGGTCTTTTTTAGTTGCCCACCCAGAGGAAAGCATCAGATTACCTGGTGAAAATCCTCCTCAACAGGGCAGTTGGAGTGAGCACGGACAATTCGTGTTGACCCTCGGTCTCCTCCCACTTCTACATCCTCCAAGTCCCTGAGGCGGCTTTCCGCTAGCTCGCCTGTCACTTGGCGCACCTGGCTCTACAGGCCACGCCCTCAAGTCTTCCAAGAGGCCAGCGGTAAGCGCGGTCCACCTCCCTCTCCCACTAGGCGTCGGCTTCACGCCGCGCCCACGTCTCGAGGACAGCTCCAGCCCCCTCGCTCCCTGGCTCCGCCCCCTCGCTCCCTGGCTCCGCCCCCTCCAGCTCCCTAGCGTCGTCGGCGTCGAGCCCGAGCCTGCGCCTGCGCGTGCGCCCTGGGGCCCAAGTTGGGGCGCGCCGTGGCTAGAACACGGAGAGCGGCGGGCAGTGCAGCCAATGGGAGGCGGCGCTGCCTAGCGGCTGGTAGGCGGTGCCTGCGCGGGTGTTAGGTTAGCGCGAGGCGTGACCTAGTTGACAGGCTCTGAGGTGCTGCTGTGGCGGCGTCCGCGGGGCTGAGGCGGGTGGGAGCCGGAGCCGAGCGCGGGCTGAGGGAGGAGGGCGGCGACTGGAGAGCGGCGAGCGGCGAGCAGCGCAGGACGCAGAGCCTCTTTCACTTTTTCCCTGCTGAGTGCCCCCTCCCACCCCTCCCACTCCACACACACCCTGTTTGCCCGTGAGCCTGGGGAACTTGCAGCTTAAAGCCAGCCACCCCCACGGCAACATGTACCCCAGCAACAAGAAGAAAAAGGTGTGGAGAGAGGAGAAAGGTAACCGGCCCGTCGAGTCCTGGGGGTGCGGGCGGTGGGGGTTAGGGTGGGGGCGGGGGTCAGGCTGTGTGTGCCGCGGCGCCCTCCGCCCGAGCTCCCGCCTCGCGCCCTCCCGGCCGGTGCCGCCTCCCTCCGGTGTCCGTGTGTACACACGCGCACACTCGCGCGCACTCCGGCGTGCACGCGCCGCCCCTGGGCACCTGCAGCTCGCGCACGTGTGGGCGCACGCCCCTCTCTGTTGCCCTCGGCACCCCGTCACCTTCTCCCGAGGCGGTGCTGCGTTCGCCTCGCTTGCGGCGGGGACCCCCAGGCGGCAGCCCCGGGCGCGGCACAAGTTCCTCTGCACCGCAGCTGGGACTTGGGCACTGCCGGCCTGGGTGTCCCGCGGACAGGTGCCCGTCGGCGGGCGCTCAGGCTGCAGCTGCCGCTGTGCCTCCGCGCTCCGTGCACCCTCATTTCTTTCCTTCTCGCCCCTGTCCCCCCAGCCCCCGAATGGCAAAGCGTACCCACCATCGGGTGTTTACCCCTTGTCTAGGTTTCCTTCCTTCGCTGCCGCAGCGTGACTTTTGAAACCTGGAACTCTAGGGGAGCCCTAAAACGAGCGTGTTGTCCGTGAGGATAAGTGCCTTCAGAGAAGTCTGAATGGGCTGTTCTCCCAACAGTGTGTTTCTCTGTATTCCATCCCCATTCATGGGCTGAAGTTGCTCAGAGTAAGATTTTGTGACTAATGTCACTCTGTATGAACCCATCTCTGAATTTTGTGCGTATAAGGTTTATCTAAATCAGCTAGATTGACAGTGGCACTGATTCTTTAAGAAACACAAGTGTACGATCCAGCGTCTCCCACCAAGATCTCCCGCTTATCCCATCACAGTTTGGTAATATTCTAACTTGAGTGTCTCTGGCGTTTTTCACCCTCCTTTTCACACCTCTTTCCTTTTCATTCTTTAGCTATTTACAGAAATGTAGCAAAAACTTCTTGCACTCCTATTGCTAAAATAAACTAAAACCTGTATAGCAAGGGTGAGGTCTATTGAGGGTAGTGCGCATTTCTCCTGGTACCTCATCTTTACAAAAGGATATAGGGGTGACTAGGTATCAAGTTGATTTCCTTGTTAATAGTTCGTTAAAACCTGTAGATTTTTATTGCAAGTCCCGGCCTTTATGAACACGAAGGCAAAACAGTGGAGGTAAGAAAGGGAATTAATGTGGAAAAAGAATCCACTATATAGGATCGGCTTCCACAATGCACGAACAAAGGCGTGAGGAGGGAATTTTTTTTTTCAAATTTACTGCAGGAAGATTTAATAATAGAACCGAACAACACAATTAAAATGATCTTTAAAAATGTTGAAAGTTTAGTCATTTAATTATGTTTTAATAATTATGGGTTTATAGAGAGCTAACACTTCTGGTGTTATAAATCAAATGCTGTCGAGAGTAATAGCCTGATAGATAAAGTAGTGTAAAATAATTTTGCTTTGTTTTTTTCAGTAGTAGTTACTTTAGTTTCAACACACTTTCAACAAGGATTTGCCTTGTGAGCACTGAAAAATCATTTATGCCCATGTTTATTGATGATGCTGAAATGTTCGCTTTGTATAATTGATGATAATGAGGGCAAAACAGTGGAAGACATAGACATTGTTTTCAGTAACATGAATCATTGATGAAATTATAGTGAGTACTTAAGAACTATTTTTCTGTCATAATAGAAAAACAGTGTTCCTCAAGTAATAACGTTATAATGTTTCCTTCATTTAACATCTACACAGTTGGACTGTGACCAGCAGGCATTTTAGAATCTTTTTTAATGTCTTGATTTCTTTTCTTCTAATAATGGAGAATATATAACCAATTTTTTTTCCTAAGGAAGCAAATGCACCATTAAATAAGGCAATTAACAAGTAATTATCCAAAACTAAGTTATTTTTGCATGAAGTTTAATGTTAAAGGAAAACGTTACTGCGATACGAAGACTTTAATGCATATCTCAGTGTTTCTTTTTTTCAGGATGTCTATGTTTGGAATATTTAAATATAAAATATATATTATACCCCCAAGGAAGAGCTAAGGATTTCTAGTACCATAGTTAGTATTAGAGAAGCTGATGGGATGCATGACCTTTTTCCTTTCAGCCCACTGGGAAGCTGATGGTATAGTATTTTTGCAGCTGTCCTTTAAAGCTAAAGGAAGGCTTACCTACCTCATTGAAATGTCAAGGCATTCTATAAACATATTTTTAACTCAGTATACCATTTAATAAATAGGTCTGCCTACTTAATTGCTTGGTTCACAGAGAAAGGACTCATTGTAAAGGTGAAGCATTCTTTAAATAAAAGTTTTATGAAATGACAAAGAAAATGCATATATATTTGTGGCCTCCAGTATGTTTCATTGTTTAAACAAGTAATTAAGGAGTTCTGAAGACCACATATGTTTAAATAAACATGTTTGATCTAGTATTTTGAGTCCTAATTCAGAACCACTAATGTGCATTTTCAAGTATTGCAACTTATTTCATTGTTTTGTTTTAAATTGATCTCGTTTTTAAGTGTTCACACTTCAACTTTTAAATAACTGGAACAACAGAGGCCAGGTTGCATTTCTGTATGTACCTTTTGACATTCACAAAAACTGTCAGTTGCTTCATAATGTCTTTTAACCTGCTCAGTAATATTGTAATAATTTTTTATTTGTGATCTGAGCTTTTTTAGCACTGCTTTGGCATACTGCTAATCATCTCCCTTTTCTGCCTTTATGTGATAATTCTAAATTTACCATTCCCTTCAAGTTTCCTGTTCTCTCAAGACCCTATCCCCCATACTAAAGAGATGACATTGCCTTTTTAATTCACAGAGAAGGGCTAGGCGCGGTGGCTCACACCTGTAATCCCAGCACTTTGGGAGGCTGAGGCGGGTGGATCATGAGGTCAGGAGATTGAGACCATCCTGGGGAACACGGTGAAACCCCGTCTTTACTAAAAATACAAAAAATTAGCCGGTCGTGGTGGCACACGCCTGTAATCCCAGCTACTCGGGAGGCTGAGGCAGGAGAAACGCTTGAATCCAGGTGGGAGAGGTTGGAGTGAGCTAAGATCGCGCCACTGCACTACAGCCTGAATGACAGAGCAAGACTCCGTCTCAAAAAAAAAAAAAAAAAAATTCACAGAGAAAATAAATGCCATGTAATATGAACAGCCCTAACATCCTCTTGCATAGTCTCATTGGTCTGTTCCTTTACATGTCCTTTTGACTTTGTTCTATCTTAGAGGAAGGACTTTTCTTCCTTGTGTGTAAGATGAATCTTTCTGCTGTGCTCTTTATCCCATATCTTCTTTGAGTTCTTGCACCATCATGTATTCTTTCTTGGGTATGTTTAATTTCTTGGTGTCTTCAGGTTCCTCTCCATTGCCTGTAACAGTGCTCGGATCTCTTCCACCTTAGAGTCACTTTTCTTTCATAGGGCTTCACGTGAACTTGGAGTTGCTGTTCTCACTTTCCTTCTTTTGCTCAGTCCTTCATTGTCTTCTGGATTTCCGTTATATTCTAATGAAACTAATGTTCCTGAAGTCATTCAGTAGTAACAGTCATGATAGTATTCATGTAAGAATAGTTAATATTTAAGCCCCATTTGTATGCTCAGTACTATTCTTAGTAGCTTACATGGATTATCTCATTTAATTCTCACAACAACCCTATGAGGTAGGAAACTATATGAGGCGAAATATTGTGAGGTTAAGAGCTTTGAATACCAGTTGCCTGGGTTTGAGTCCTACTTATACTGCTTAACTAGCTGTGGTACTTTAGGTAAGTTATTTGACGTTGTTTATAGTTTCCTTATCTATAAGTTGGGAATAATACCTGCCTACTTACCTCGAAGGGAAACTGAAACATAAAGAGGTTAAGTAACCTACAGATTTGCACCATTTAGATTACAACTCAAACAGCTCTGTTAACCACTTTTCCTCTTTATTCCATGCTGTTGGTAACCACATTGATAAAAGCAGGTTAATGGCTAAGTAATTTTCACTTTTTCTGACCTTCCTGTAGCAGTCTGTGGTATTTCCCTTAGTGCACCTGTAGTCCCAGCTACTCAGGAGGCTGAGGCAGGAGAATCGCTTGAACCCAGGAGGCGGAGGTTGCAGTGAGCTGATATCGCGCTACTGCACTCCAGCCTGGTGACAGAGCAAGACTCTGTCTCAAGAAAAAAACAACTCTGTTTTCTGAATGTTTCCTTGTACCAGGAACTTGCACCCATGGTGACAACTACGATTTATTTCATTGTTTTCCTATTTGTGCCCACTTCCTAAATACTGTGTTTTGAGGTTTGATGCTTCCTTCCGTTCCCTCTTCTTTTTCCTTTAGGACTAGAATTTTAGGTTATATTTTCTAAAGTCTCTAGGCTAGACCACTCTTTAAATTTCCAGATTCTTGATTTCAACTTCTTCAATGTCCTATAGGTACCTTAAACTCAATTTTTGTGAATATGTCACCTCTGATTAAGATACCTTTTTTTTTTGTCTCCTAATGTGGCTGAAGTTCTAGTTATAGGAGTGGGAAAAATATTGGTTCCCCATTTTCTGTTCACTTGTGCTTACATTAATACTTCTGTAGTTTATTTCTGTGAAATAGTCTTTTAAAGTGGTTATTTTTTGAAGGTTAGATTACCTTAAACTAGATACTAACTATCCCTGCATCCATTTATCTAAACTGCAGTACCTTGTGATACACTGAAAGAGAATTGCAGAGTATGAGAAATAACTGTCTCTCTCTCTCACTCTCTACATCGTGGAGACCATTGGTATGGTATGGGAGACATGAAAGCTGACATACAGAGTGAAGAAGCCAGTGTCAGTTTATACATTGAATATTGGTAAATATTTCTTCCTTGTTTAGGTGAAAAACGAATGTAAATAGAATTATTTGCATGTTTTCCTGTGTCCTAGTGGGTTGTTTTATACACCCTCTGGGAAATGCATAATCAACTTTCAATATTAGTAGTCTATAGGATAAAGGTTAAACTGCTCACTATGGCATACAAGTCCCTGTACAGTTTTGTTTTACTTTTGTTTCCGGCTACTTTTCACTTCTGTGGCCATTCCTCTTCTCATACCATATCTTGCAGCTTCATTTAGTTATAGTATTCATACCTCCTTTGTTTACATTGTTTTGTTAGTCTGAAATGTTCTTTTTACCTCTTCATGCAAAATTCTTCCTGTCCTTTGTGAAGCAGCATACATATTACCTTTTTCGGGGAGTTTTCCTGAGAATGTAGTGTAGTACAGTGGAATAAATAACATAGGGTGTAGTCTTTGATTAATGGAGATGTTTGTCTGAATTTTAATTTTGGCTCACTTCCTGAAACCTCTCTTGCTTTGGGCAAACTACTTTGCTGTGCTTCATTTCCCTATCTGCAAAATTGGCATAATAATACTATCAATTTTATGAGTTATTAGGAAGATTATTTTAATGAGATATACATGTGAAGTACCTGGCCATAGTGAGTTCTTTATAAATGACATCCACTCTAATTCTAAGATGCAATTTGTAAAATATTTTCATTTTATCGTCAAGATATATATATTTAAAGCAATTCTTATATCATCTACACAAAGCTGTAAGTAAATTGATAGTGCAGTTGAGGAAATATCTTGGTGGTTGCCTTTTTTTGTGCTCTTACTATTTGTACATACCTGTCTTAGCATTTTATTTATATAGATACTATTTTGTATCTTACTGTGTTAGACTGTTCTTGCAGTTGCTGTAAAGAAATGCCTAAGACTGAGTAATTTATTAAAAAAAAGACGTTTAATAGACTCATGGTTCTGCAGGCAACACAAGGATAGCATTGGCATCTGTTAGGTCTTCTGGGAGGCCTCAGGGAGCTTTTACTTACAGGGCAAGATGAAGCGGAGGGAGCTTTTACTTACGGGGCAAGATGAAGTAGGAGCAGGCACTTCACGTGGCAAGAACAGTAGCACGAGAGGGTTGGGGGGAAGTGCCACACACTTTCAAACAACCAGATCTCACGAAAACTCACTATCTTGAGGCTAGCACCAGGCCATGAGGGATCTGCTCCCATGACCCAATTACCTCCCACTAGACACCATGTCACACATTGGGGATTACATTTCAACATAAGATTTCAGGGGATATATATCCAAACCATATCACTTATCCAGCATATCACCTGGCCCATAGTAAACTGTAGATGTTGCTTGAAAGTGTAAATGAGTTTACTTATTTCTTGGACTATCATAAGAGAGTCTTCATCAGGCTTTGATTTTTTTCTCCCCTGGTAATATGAAATTTAACATTTTTTAACATTTAAATATGGAGTCACTGGATTTGCATTGTGTTCTTCAGGACTGTATCAACTCTTTTGTTAGCTTAACTTGGTTAATACTTAAAGTATAAAAATAATTCCCATGTTTAAACGTTAAATACAAATGGAGATTCTGCTTTTATTTTGCAAGAACGTTTATTGAAGATGACCTTAGAAGAGAGACGCAAAGAATACCTAAGAGACTATATTCCCCTGAACAGCATTCTATCATGGAAGGAGGAGATGAAGGGCAAGGGCCAAAATGATGGTAAGTTTCTCGGAACATTTTTTAGGTAGATATTTTTCCCATTTTAGGACAATTGTTGACAGAAATGAATAACTGGCGTTCAATAAAGAGATTACTATTTTGCTATTTGAAATTATTGTTTGGTTGTGATTTAATTGTTTTTAGTAACCTACGGTGTTTTTTAAACTTAGGAAAGTATATTAACATAATTTGTGTTCTGAAATATACCACATTTATAATATGGTACTTTTTTTACAGGTCCTTTTTTATTTTTTCTATTCTGTAACAGTTCTTGGAGCAAATGCTATTAGAGATTTGCTGCTTTGGTGGTGTGGCCCTTTGAGTTTGCTTTAAGTTCATTTATAATCGATTATCTTATGTTATTTTTAGGATTGGGGATACAGCTGAAAGAGAGAGTATATTAGGAAAAATAGAAAAACCAAAGAACA
Source organism: Homo sapiens (assembly GCF_000001405.40). Classification (NCBI taxonomy): domain Eukaryota; kingdom Metazoa; phylum Chordata; class Mammalia; order Primates; family Hominidae; genus Homo; species Homo sapiens. Next base: position 216,442 of record NW_025791811.1, read on the forward strand.
TTTCTCATTATTTTAGAGAATATATTTTGTATGATGTGTTATTATGTCTGTATGTAAAGTATTTGTATGACAGAATTTACTCTCAAAGTCTTTATGATTTGGTGGGAATCTAGATTATGTTAGAATATAAAGGAAGTTTTAAGGATTAAAAAGGTACGTGAAAAAGTTTCTAAAAACAACATAATAGATTTAATGGATGTTTAATATGCTTGTCTTTGAATTAACACTCGTTGGTATTAATGATCTGGATGTGAAGTTTAGACAAACGGTGCTTCTTAAGGTGCTTAACAGTTGAGAAAGACTTTATGAAATGGACTTGAAACATGCTAATTTCAAAGGTTGTGGTCTTAGATCGATGGAACTACACCGGGTACTATGGGCCCAGAATAAAGACTAGCATGGAATTCCTATGGATAAAATCTGAAGGGAAAGATTAGGCCTTGGTGTCTGTGAAGAGAACACATTGACCTGAGGATTTGGGTTTTAGACACAACTTTGTTTTTCTAGAAAGGCAAAGCATGTGGGATTAGCAGTGAAAAGCTGTGGGTTCTTTTAGACCTTACGTAGCCTGGAAACGTGTGACCTTGGGCAAGCGGGGTAGCAGCTCTACCCCACGTTCTAATGGGGTCATTGGACAAGCTGATTGGGATGTGCACATCTGACCTGTCTGCCCAGTGTCTTCTGTAAATGCAAGTTGTTTTAAGAATGGTCTGATTCCAAACTGATAAGATTGGCCTTAAGAAGCCCCTGCCTGATCACGTGAGCATCATGGAACCCAAAGATGATTTGCTGCCCACCACCCCGTCTCAGAACAGAAGGGTGGGAAGCCAGAGCCACCTGCATTGCCCTAGCCAGTCCCCACAGTGTAACAGGGTCTCCTTGGCAGCTGTATTCTGGAGTCTGGTTGTTGCTCTGTAAAGACCTTTAATAAAATCTTGTACAAAGGTTAAAAAAAAAAAAGGTCTGGTTAAGACATCATTGAAAGAGAGGAGAGTGCTGTGTAATGAAAAGAATACAGGGCTAGAAATCAGGAGAACAGAATTCTGGTCCTCTGTCTTACCTAAGGCTATGTGCCTCTTCATGTTTGAGTCTCAGTAATTTCTTTTTTTGTTTATAAGCAACTGGTATTGAATATTTCAGCAGCAGCACTATCTTCTTCTTTTTTTTAAATGGCTACAGGTCGAGTATCCCTTATCCAAAATGCACAGGACCAGAAGTGTTTGGGGTTTTGGATTGTTTGGATTATACTTGCTGGTTCAGCATTCCTAATCCAAAATCCAAAATGTTCCAGTGAGCATTTCCTTTGAGCATTATGTTGGTGCTCAAAAAGTTTCAGATTTTGGAGCATTTGGGATTTTGAATTTTTGCATTAGGACTACTCAACCTGTAGTAAATGTTCCCCAAATTAGAAAAGAATACATTGAATAGAATAACACCTAACATAGTTATCCTCTAACAAGATATTGCATGTTTAATCCTGCCTCCCAATATGAGCTTTATAAGTGGTTACAACTGCTCTGTGTGTTTCTTATTTTCCCCCTTATGCTGTTTTAAACTTGAAAGTCCTCCATGGGGAACAAGGTGATGTGATCAAAATTATATTTCTATTTTTCCTGAAATGTTACTTGCTTCTCTCTGTTGTGACCCAGACTCTGGTGAATGGCCTCTTCCTTTTTCATGAAGTGGAATGGCTCATTTTACAAGTAATATTTGTAAATATTTATATACAATACACATTTTTCATATGACTTTTTCTTGTGTTACCTATTCAGTGCTCAGTTATTAAAAAATATTAGTCAAGAGAGTTTTAGTGTTTTAACAGTTTAAAAATCCTTTAAAAATATAAATTTACAAAAAATAATAAAGGAAAACTATACATATGGTTATATTTGAAACGTTTTAAGTCATTGCTTATACATGTATAAGTAGGTATTGATATTTATTAAATATGGGATTTTAAACTAAGTATTAAAAGAATTCTATAATTCCTTGTCACTTAGTTTCTAATTATAGGAAATGAACAATATTTATCGGGTTAGAACAGTATATCAGTTTTAAATTTAATATCTTATCATTACTTACGTTTTTATAGAGGACCATTTTTGCCTAAATATTCCTGAGTACTTGAATAGTTCTTGAGCTATTGCTTTTAATTTTTTTCTTGCTTTGTTCAGATTTATTTTACTTTAACCAAATGCTTCTTGTTATTATAATACAATAGAAAGTTAAATAAAAAAGAGGGGAGCAGCCAAATATATTTGTAACAATTTGGATTTTAAGCCTTCTTGAAACAAAAGGAAACAAAATATTGCCAAGGAACACAAAATCAGTGTTTATATGGAAAGGGGGAAGCAAGTTTTATTTTGACTTACCCCTTTGGTAATATTGGAAAGCCATGGATTGGAAGAGGAAAGAATGGGAGATGATTACCAAAAAATAAAAATAAAAAAACCCAAAAAACAAAAACCCCATCCAGAAAAACCCATTAAATACATAATTTGCTTGCTGTTTATGTTCATATTTATTAACTGTTGTTAGCTAATTTCTAGACTTACATATTTCTAATTCTTCCTCTGTGTTACCAATTATGTAATAATTCAATATCATTTGTCAGTTGCTATGTTGTGGGGATTTTAAAATTCTTGTCTCTCCTATTGTACTGTCTCTAGCACCTGGAATGGTGCCTTATGGGTTGGTGGGGCTTAATCGTAAGTTAAATAAGAATGCCTGAAGAGTTAATAATCTACAAGGGACAATTCTTTCTCCAAACTTTTTTTTTTTTTTGAGACTGAGTCTCACTTACTTTGTGCCCCGGGCTGGAGTGCAGTGGCGCGATGTGGGCTCACTACAACCTCCACCTCCTGGCTTCAAGCAATTCTCCTGCTGAGCTCCTGAGTAGCTGGGATTATAGATGCGTGCCACCACGCCTGACTAATTTTTGTATTTTTTGTGGAGATGGGCTTTCACTGTGTTGGCCAGGCTGGTCTTGAACTCCTGACCTCAAGTGATCTGCCCATGTTGGCCTCCTAAGGTGCTGGGATTACAGACGTGAGCCACTGCACCTGCCTCTTTTTCCAAACTTTTAATGAGCATTTATAAATATATGTAAAGCTAGAATACAGTCATGTGCCACAAAATGATGTTTTGGTCATTGACATCCTGCATATATGATGGTGGTCCCATAAGATTATAATACTGTATTTTTACTATGCCTTTTCTGTGTTTACGTAGGTTTAAATACACAATGACTTACCATTGTGTTATAGTTGCCTACAGTATTCTGTACAGTAACATGCTGTATGGGTTTTAGCCTAGGAGCAATTGGCTGTACCATATAATCTAGGTGTGTATAGACTGTGTACCATCTAGATTTTTGTAGTATACCTTACAATGTTTGCACAGCAATGAAATCACCTAACAACGCCTTTCTCAGAACGTATTCCATTGTTAAGCAATGCCTGACTGTAGCAATGCATCCATTACCCAGTTTCAACAGTTATTACACGGCCAATTTTATTTCATCTATACCAGTGCTCCCTATACCTTCCCCCCAGACTATTTTGAATGAAATCACATATGTCATATAAATTTTATCTATAAATGAGTATCTGTGTATATGCATATGTATGTATCTCTAAAAGATGGCATATTTTTGTTGTTTTACTAAAATACTATTATTACCTCTCACATTTAAAATTTAACTTAAAATTTAATTTTGATATAATTAAATATCCACTTAGTATTCATGTTTTTCCCATTGTCTCATAAAGGATTTTTTCTTTTACAATTGATTTGCTTGAATCAAGATCTAATCAAGGTCCATATATTGCATTTAATTGATTTGTTCCTTAAGTCACTTTTAATCTATAGTTACCTTTCTCTGTCCTTTTTTCCTTCCTCCCTTATAATTTATTTGTTGAATACACTAGGCTGTCCTGCAGAATTTTTTATATTTTGAATTTTGCTTACTGCATCTCTGTGGTATCATTGAACATGTTCCTCTGTCCCCTTTATTTCTTATGAGTTGGTAGTTAAATCCAGAGGTTTGTTCAGAGTGGGGTTTAAATTTTTTTGAAATAATGCTTTATAGATTATTGTACATCTTTTTGCATCATATCACAGGGCACATAATGCGTCATTGTCTCCCTCAGTAGTGATAAGATTGATCCCTGGGTTCATGTATTGTCAGCTGAATATTGTCACTAAACTGTCTGGTGTAAAGTTCTCTGACAACCTTTTACCTAATGGTTTTAGCAGCCATTCGTGATTATTGCTTAGATCCATTACGTTATTAGGGGTTGCAAAATAGTGGTATGTGAATTTTATCATTCCTTATTTATTTGTCAGACTTCTATAAAGAGGAACTTTCTGTTATTAAGTCTTTTATTATGCAGTACGGTTTATAAAGGAAAGCAGAATAAATGCCATATTTCCCTTATTTACTGATTTTCAGATTGAGTTCATTCCCTAAAATCCTCCACAGGTGACCAAAGAGTCCTTTTTTTAAAATTTTTGACTATCATTTTCAATTTGCCCCTTCCTTCTCTCCTCTTCTCTGTCTCTTCCTCCCTCTTCCTCCCTCTCAACATGTATATTAAATGAGAATGTCCCAGTGGTTAACAGTCTACAAAGGAGGCATATACGTGTGTGTTTGTGCATGCGCGTGCATGTATTTATAGCTCCCATATAAAATACATAGAATTACTAAACAATAGGCCCAGGATATGGTAGAAAGACAAAGGTAGATATATAAATGGGTGGATGGGTAGATATGATAGAAAGATGGCATTACTTCTTTGTTGAGACAAGAGTTCTAGTTCTTGGGTTTAATAGTTATGCCTTCTGTTAATCTCCTTTCCTACTACTGTGTTAAGGCTCCACTAGAATACCACCTAGAGAAGCAATGTTATTGTTACACTTTTTGGATGGAGTAGTGTTGGCAGAGACTCTGCCAGGCTTATGCTAATTTTCTCTGACTGGTTAGTATCAGGGAAAGCAGCTATGGCTATAAGTTTAGATTGTCTTTTTGAGTAATTACTTTTAATGTTTATACAGAACAGCAATAGGGGAAAAATAAAATAATAATGAGGATGAGTTAGGTGAAAATTATAAAATTATCTTATACTCAAGTATAAAATATTTTTAAAAATTGGTCATTTAAAGAGCCATCTATGATAATACCATACTGAATGGGCAAAAGCTGGAAGCATTCCCCTTGAAAACGAACACAAGACAAAGATGGCCTCTCTCACCACTCCTATTCAAGATAGTGTTGGGAGTTCTGGGCAGGGTAATCAGGCAAGAGAATGAGGTAAAGCGTATTCAGCTAGAAAGAGAGGAAGTCAAACTATTTTTGTTTGTAGATGACATGATCCTACACGTAGAAAACCCCATCATCTCAGCCCAGTAGCTTTTCAAGCTGATAAGCAACTTCAGCAAAGTCTCAGGATACAAAATAAATGCATACAAATCTCTAGCATTGCTATACACCAAAAACAGGCAGGCCGGGAGGCAAGTCACAAATGAGCTCTCATTCACAGTTGCCACAAAAAGAATAAAATACTTAGGAATGTGGCTAACAAGGGAAGTGAAGGATCTCTTCAAGGAGACCTACAAACCACTGCTCAAGGAAATCAGAGAGGACACAAACAGAGAAACGTTCCGTGCTCATAGATAGGAAGAATCAATATTACAAAAATGGTCATACTGCCCAAAGCAGGGTATAGATTCAGTACTATTCCTATTAAACTACTATCAACATTCTTCACAGAATTAGAAAAAACTACTTTAAAATTCATATGGAACCAAAAAAGAGCCCAAATAGCCAAGACAGTCCTAAGCAAAAAGAACAAAGCTAGAGGCATCACGCTACCTGACTTCAAACTATACTACAAGGCCAAAGTAACCAAAATGGCATGGGACTGGTACAAGAACAGACATAGACCAGTGGAACAGAATAGAAAACCCAGAAATAAGTCTGCACACCTACAACCATGTGATCTCCGACAAACCTGGAGATCACAAACAAGCAATGGAGAAAGGATTCTCTATTTAATAAATGGTGCTGGGAAAACTGCCTAGTCATATGCAGAAAATTGAAACTGGACCCCTTCCTTACACCTTATACACAGATTAACTCAAGATGGATTAAAGATTTTAATGTAAAACCCCAAACTAAAAATCCTGGAAGACAACATACGCAGTACCATTCAGGATCTAGGCATGGGCAAAGATTTCATGTGAAGATGCCAAAAACAATTGCAACAAAAGCAAAAATTGACAAATGGGATTTAATTACACTAGAGTTTCTGCACAGCCAAAGAAACTCTCAGCATGAACAGAGAACCTACAGAATGGGAGAAAATTTTTATAATCTATCCATCTGACAAAGGTCTTATATCCAGCATCTATAAGGAACTTAAATTTACAAGAAAAAACCAAACAACCCCATTAAAAATAGACAAAGGACATGAACAGGCACTTCTCAAAAGAAGACATACATGTGGCCAACAAACATATGACAAAAAGCTCAACATTACTCATCACTAATGAGTAATGATGCAAATGCAAATCAAAACCACAATGTGATACCAACTCACACCAGTCTGAATGGCTATCATTAAAAAGTCAAAGAACAACAGATGCTGGCGAGGTTATAGAGGAACACTGATACACTGTTGGTGGGAATGTAAATTAGCTCAACCATTGTGGAAGACAGTATGACAATGCCTTAAAGACATAGAGGTAAAAATACCGTTTGACCCAGCAATCCTATTACTGGGTGTATACACCCAAATGAATATAAATCATTCTATTATAAAGATAATAAAAGAAGGCGTATGTTCATTACAGCACTGTTCACAATGGCAAAGACATAGACTCAACCTAAATGCCCACCAATGATAGACTGGATAAAGAAAATGTGGTACATATACACCATGCAATACTATGCAGCCATAAAAAGGAACAACATCATGTCCTTTGCAGGGACCCGGATGGAGCTGGAAGCCATTATGCTCGACAAACTCTAACGCAGTAACAGAAAACCAAATACCACATGTTCTCACTTTTATGTGGGAGCAGAATGATGAGAACACATGGACACATTGTGGGGAGTAACACACACTGGGCCTGTCAGAAGGTAAGGATGGGAGGAGTGAGAGCATCAGGAAGAATAGCTAATGGATGCTGGGCTCAATACTTAGGTGATGGGTTGATCTGTGTAGCTGGCCACTACGGCACACGTTTATTTGTCTAACAAAGCTGTGTGTCTTGCACATGCACCCCTGAACTTAAATGAAAGTTGGAAATTAAAAAAAAATTTGGTCATTTAGAAAGACTTTATATTTCATATTTTTATACATGTTTATCTGTATTACATACTATAATAAAGGAAGCTAGAGAAAAAGTGCTATTAAGATCATAAGAGAAAATCTACTTACTGTTTATTAAGTGGAAGTGGGTCATCACAAAAGTCTTCATCTTCATTGTCTTAACATTGAATAGGCTTAGGAGGATGGGGGGCTGGTTGGTCCTGCTGTCTCAGGGGTGGCAAAGGCAGAAAAGGTAGAGGGAAGGTAGAGGGGGAGGCAGGCATGCGTGATGCAGCTTCACAGAAATACATTGTAATTTCTGTCTGACTTTTTTGCCTTTTCATTTCTCTAAAAATGTATGGTACCAATGCTTTAATCTTTTTTCCAGTGCTTAGTTTCAGTGCCTATGTCATAGAAGGTTCTATGTCATAAATCAAAAACAGTCTTGAATAATAGGAACCCTTCTGCCAGATTGTCTAATGTCAGTTTGTTTTCTGGCACTGCATCTGGTATGTCTTCTTTCTCATTGTCTGGCACTGGTTTGGAAGCACTCATCTCCATCAAGTTTTCTTCTGTTAATTCCTCTGGTGACCTGGTGTTTGTTAGCTCTTGAATTTCTCCAGGATCTGCATCTTGAAACCCTTCACCCCCTACCCTTTTTGCCATATTCCCAGTCTCTTTCATGATTTCCTTGATTGACTGTGTCATAAATTCTGTGAAGCCATGTGCAACATCTGGACAAAGTTTTCTCCAGCATGAATATTGTTTTGGGCTTGATGGTTTTCATGGCTTTTTCTATAACAGCAGTGGAATTTTCAGTGGTGTAATTCTTCCAAACTTTCATGATGTTCTATCAGGGTTCTCTTTCATAGCATTCACAGTCTTTTCCATAGAATACTGTGTGTAGTGCTGCTTAAAGGTCCTTATGACCCCCTGATATAGAAGCTGAATTATAGATACTGTGTTTGGGGGCAAGTAGACCACTTTGATATTTGTGGTGTTGAACTCATGGGGTTCTGGGTGGCCAGGGGCATTGTACAACCTCAAAATAACTTTAAAAGGCAGTCCCTTACTGGCAAGGTGCTTCCTGATAGGAGCACAGCGTCTCATTATCTAGGCCTTTCTTGTACAACCAAAAGACTGGCAGCTGGTGTTTATCTTTTTCCTTCAAGGTTTGGAGGTTAGCAGCCTTATAAATGAGGGCAACTTTGATCATAAACCTGACTGTATTTGCGTAAAACAGCCTGTCCCTTCCTGTTTTAAATCCTGGTGCTTGCATCTCTTCCTTAATAATGAATGTCTTTTGTGGCATTTCCCCCCCTTCAGAATAGAGCACTTTTGTCTGCGTTAAAAAGCCTGTTCAAGTAGATATTCTTTCTCTTCGATTTTTTTTTTTTTGTAAGACGGAGTCTTGCTTCTGTCACCCAGGCTGGAGTGCAGTGGCCCGATCTCGGCTCACTGCAAGCTCTGCCTCCCGGGTTCATGCCATTCTCCTGCCTCAGCCTCCCGACTAGCTGGGACTCCAGGCGCCCGCCACCACACCTGGCTAAGTTTTTGTATTTTTTAGTAGAGACAGGGTTTCACCGTGTTAGCCAGGATGGTCTTGATCTCCTGACCTCGTGATCTGCCTACCTCGGCCTCCCAAAGTGCTGAGATTACAGGCCTGAGCCACCGCGCCTGGCCTCCCCTATGATTTTCTTAATGGCATCTGGGAATTTGCCTTCTGCCTCTTGGTCAACAGTAGCTTTTTCTACTATTATTGCGACTTTTCTTTTTTTTTAAAGGCAGAGTCTCGCTCTGTCGCCCAGGCTGGGGTACAGTGGCATGATCTTAGCTCACTGCAACCTTCGCCTCCCAAGTTCAAGTGATTCTTGTACCTCAGCTACCCAGTTAGCTGGGGTTATAGGCATGTACCCCCGCCCAGCTAAATTTTGTATTTTTAGTAGAGATGGGGTTTCGCCACGTTGGCCAGGCTGGTCTGGAACTCCTGGCCTCAAGTGATCCACCCTCCTCTGCGTCCCAAAGTGCTGGGATTACAGGTGTGAGCCACCGTACTCAGGGTGTGACATATTTTAAGACAGACTTCTTTATAACACATATCAAACCATCCTTTGCTGGCATTAAATTCTTCAGCTTTAGATCCTCATCTTCCTTAATGCTTTAAGTTGTCATATAATGACTTTGCTTTTTCTCAGGTCCTATTAGTCTATAGGTATGCTCATTCTTCTAGCAATCCTGCACTCACATAAAAGCTGCATTTTTAGTATGAGATTATCAGTATGAGATTAAAAGATATTATGCAAAAACTGCAAGGTTTTCGGACCTGCGGGCATAGCTGTAGTGATGCAAATTTTCTTTCCTTTTTTTAATAATGACTCTTAGGCTGGATTCATGTATCTTAAATGGTGAGGGATTGCAGCTGCAGACCTAAATATCAAGCACTTCAGCTTTTTCTTTTAACGTCATGACTTTTCTCTGCTTCTTGGGAGTACTTCCAGCATTATTAATGGCACTTTGTGTGGGTCTGTGATGTTATTCAGGTTTATGGTATTGCACTAAACATGATAAAAAATATGTGACAACTGCAAGAGATCCACTTTTTTACTGTGATATGCAATTTATTGGAGAGACAGACTGTTTACGCAGAGGTGTTCAGCCTCACACAGCATTTTAAGTGGATACTTGAAATACTTGAGGTCACCGCAATAGCAATAGAAGGTGGCTAAGAAATATTACAGTAGTACAGTATGTACTGTGGTTAATTTTGTGCAGTTGTGATTTAGTACTGCCTCTTTACCTTTGTTTACCTTTCTCTTGACTGAATGGCGCCATGTATGATCTATAAGTGTGTGCATAAGTTTTGATAAATTTTCATTTTTGTAATAGATTTGGGTATATTTTATGGTAGTAAATGATGAAATAGACTAGTGTCTACATGTATTTTAAGCATTCATGACATACTTTTTCTTAATTTTCATATTTCTAGACTATGTGGTTTGTCTGCCAGTTTTTTTTTCAAATTGTTGCAAGTCTCTAAAAAATGTTCCAATATATTTATTGAAAGAATCAATGTATAAGTGGACCTGTGCTGTTCAAACCTGTGTTGTTCAAGGGTCAACTGTACTTTCTTTTTTTTTTTTTTTTTGAGACGAAGTCTCTCTCTGTCGCCCAGGCTGGAGTGCAGTGGTGCCATCTTGGCTCACTGCAAGCTCCGCCTCCCAGGTTCATGCCATACTCCTGCCTCAGCCTCCCGAGTAGCTAGGACTACAGGTGCCCGCCACCATGCCCGGCTAATTTTTTGTATTTTTAGTAGAGACGGGGTTTCACCGTGTTAGCCAGGATGATCTCTATCTCCTGACCTCGTGATCTGCCCACCTCGGCCTCCCAAAGTGCTGGGATTACAGGCGTTAGCCACCGTGCCCAGCTGGCTCAACTGTACTTTCCTAAGATTATTTTGACAACACATCAATTTCATTGTGTATTGCAGTGTGTACCATTAAGTATTATGTAAATTGTCCTTATATTAAGCTTTTTTTTTTTTTTTTTTTTTTTGAGACGGAGTTTCGCTCTTGTTGCCCAGGCTGGAGTGCCATGGCACTTGACCTTGTCTCACTGCAACCTCCGCCTCCTGGGTTCCAGCAGTTCTCCTGCCTCAGCCTCCCGAGTCGCTGGGGTTACAGGCGCCTGCCATCACGCCCAGCTAATTTTTTATATTTTAGTAGAGATGGGTTTCACGATGTTGGCCAGGCTGGTCTCGACCTCAGGTGATCCACCTGCCTCAGGCTCCCAAGGAAGCTTGTTTTTAAAAATATTGTAAAAACAAAACCCCCAAATCTTTCATTTTTTGATATATATAAACATGACTTTGTGTTGACACAAGATGGAAAATTCTTTCTTTATATTTCTTAAGTCTGTAACTTCATCACATAGTCTACTAGTTTTCTTTTTAACATATTAAATGAATTATGTTAGTAAATAAGGATTTTCCTTAAATACATTTTGGTCAGCGTGAACAGATATTTTGACATGGGTTACAGATTGGTGGTAGCCAGAGACGACAACTTTTCCTTTCTTGCTCCCCCCTCCCCCCCACCCCCAATAATTTTTGCATAGGAGAGAGTCTTCTTAATGTCTTCTTTCAGATGTATTCATTTAGTTTATTTTTAAGTTGACAGAGAAATTGTATTTCATAATGTTTTTGTCTTTTCTGAAATATTTAGTTACTGAATTTTCATCAACGTGTTTAAAACAAGAATTTAAGTATAGCTTATTGATTTATCTAAGCCTTTGATTTGGAACCAGGTTGAGGATTGCCGATGAAATAAGTAAGAAAATATCGTGCCAGGGCAATGAAAACCTATGAAGATTTTTGAGCAGGAGAGCTACAGAAACTTCAATACGATGAGAATAAATTGGCAACAGTTCATACAATAATTTAGAGGGTATGCAGTTTCCACCCCTTAATATCGTTTTTGCTTCTCCAGAGTTAATTCACTTGCCATTTTTTCCTCCTGCAGATATATCTGTTCTTCTTTCATAGCTTTTCTGTGTTCACTTATCATACCAGTTCCTCATTTAATTTTCTCTGTTTCCTTCAATAACCGAATACATCTGTTCTTTCTTGATTAATCTTTACTTGCTTTTCTTTCTGTTTTTTTGTTTTGTTTTGTTTTTTTAGATAGGGTCTTGCTGTTGCCCAGGCTGGAGTGCAATGGTGCAATCATGGCTCACTGGAACCTTGACCTCCTGGGCTCAATCAATTCTCCTACCTCAGCCTCCTGAGTAGTTGGGACTACAGGTGCACACAACCATGCCCAGCAAATTTTTTTTTTTTTTTTTTTGTAGAGGTGGGGTTTTACCATGTTGCACAGGCTAGTCTCGAACTCCTGGGCTCAAGCAATTGGCCATTCAAAGTGCTGGTATTACAAGTGTGAGCCACTGTGCCCAGCCCCTTTTCTTGAGTTCTCTTGTTTCCCAATCTACTCTTGTAAATTTAAGCTTTTTAATTATGGTAAAATATACATAACATAGAATTTGCCATTTTTACTATTTTTAAATGTTCAGTTTAGTGACATTGAGTACATTCACAGTGCTGTGCGACAATCACCAGTATCCATTTTCACAATTTTTTCATATTCCCAGATAGAAACTTTGAGCTGGGTACAGTGGCTTGCTCCTGTAATCCCAGCTACTCAGGAGGCTGAAGCAGGAGGATAGCTTGAGGCTAGAAGTTTGAGACCAGCCTTGGCAACATAGTGAGACTTCATCTCTAAAATGAACATTCAAAAAAAACTGGTGGTGTGCACTTGTTGTCCCACCTATTCAGGAGGCTGAAGTAGGAGGATTGCTTGAACCCAGGAGTTTGAGGCTGCGATGAGCTGTGATTTGCACTACTGTACTCCAGCCTGGGCAACAGAGTAGACCTCCTCTCTTAAAATGAAATGAAAGAAACTTTGTAAACTTTGTACCCATTAAACAATATCTACACTATACAGTCTTCCTTCTCACCTGTCCCCTCTTATTCTTGACTGTCTCTATAAATTTGCCAGTTGTAGATACAATCATGTAAGTGGAATCATAACATGTTTATCTTTCATGTCTAGCTTATTTCACTTAGCATAATGCTTTCTGGATTCCTCCATGTTGTAGTATGTGTAAGAATTTTATTATTTTTAAGGCCGAATATTATTACACTGTATGTGTATAGCACATTCTGTTTATCCATTTAACTGTTGGATATTTGGGTTGTTTCCACCTTTATCAACTGTGAATAATGCTGCTATGAATATTGGTTTAGAAGTATCTTTTTAAGTCCCTGTTTTCAATTATTTTGGGTATTAACTAAGAGTGGAATTGCTAGATCACATGGTAATTCTACTTAACTTTTTGAGGAGACACAAAACTTTTCTGTAGTGGCTATAGTATTTTACATTCCAACCGCCAGTGCTATTCCCACCACCAATGCACAGGGGTTCCAGTTTCTCCATGTTCTTGGCCATTATTTATTTTCTGTTTTGGTTTTGGTTGTTTGTGCTTTTGATGAGCATCTTTATAGATGCTTATTGGCCATGTGTATTTCTTTGGAGAAGTATCTATTCAAATCCTTTGTCCATTGTTGAGTTGGATTTCCTTGTTGTAGGAATTCCTTTGTATGTTCTGGATATTAATTCCTTATCAGATATATTATTTGCAGGTGTTTTCTCACACTTTGTGGGTCGTCTTTTCACTCTCTTAATAGTGTCCTTTGATTGAAAAGTTTTTAATTTTGATGAAGTCCAGTTTATCTGTTTTTTCTCTGGTTGATTGCTTTTGGTGTATATTCTAGAAGACATTGTTAAATCCAATGTTTCATAAATTTTCTCTTGTTTTCTTCTAAGGGTCTCATTGATTTAGCTTTTGCTTGGTCTTTGATCCATTTTGTATTAAGTTTTGTATATGGTATAAAGATCCTTTTTGCATGTTGATACCCAGTTTTCCAGTATTTGCTGTTGAAAAGACTTGTCTTTTCAAGACATTTGAATGGTCTTGGCACTCGTGTTGAAAATCAATTTGAAAAAAACATTCTATTGATTTGTAAATCTCTTGTAATCCAGAACCACATTATTTTGATTAATGTAGCTTTGTAGTAAGTTTTGAAATCAGGAAGTGTGAGTCTTCCAACTTTTTCTTTTTGAAGATTGCATAGCTGTTTGGTGTCCCTTGAGATTCCAAATGAATTTTAGGATTTTTTTTCCCCACAAAAAATACTGTTGGGATGCCGATTATATTGAATCTGTAGATCATTTTGGGTAGTGTTGTCATCTTCACAATATTTAGAGTTCCAATCCATGAACATGCGATGTCTTTCTACTTACTTATGTTTTCTTTAACTTCTTTTAGCACTGTTTTGTAGTTTTCAGTGAATAATCTTTCACATCCTTGGTTAAGTATATTACTAATTATTTTATTCTTTGTGATGCTATTGTAAATTGAATTGTTTTCTTAATTTTCTTATCAATGTTCATTGCAAGTGTACAGAAATGAAACTGATTTTCATGTATTGATTTTGTATCCTGCAGCTTTGATGTATTCAAGCTAACAATTTTTCGGGTTTTCTGCATTTACGATCATGTCATCTGTGAACAGAGATAGTTTTACATCTTCCTTTCTAGTTTGAATGTCTTTTATTTCTTTTTCTTGCCTGATTACTCTGGCTAAAACTTCCAATATTATGTTGGCTAGAATAAGTGAAAGTGGACATCATTATTTTGTTTCTGATCTTAAGGAAAATGCTTTCAGTCTTTCACCACTGAGTATTGAGTATTGTGTTACCTGTGGATTTTTCATATGTCTCCATTATGTTCAAGTTATTCATAGGTTATTGAGGGTTTTTATCATGGGAGGGTGTTGAATTTTGTAAAATGCATTTTCTATATAAGTTTAGATGATCATGTAGTTCACATCCTTCATTCTTCATGTTGGAGTATTACATTGATTATATTGAACCATCCTTGTATTCTGGGAGTAAATCACACTTGGTCACGTTGTGTATTCCTTTTAAGATGCTGCTGAATTCAGTTTGCTAGTATTGAGGATTTTTTTCATTGTGATTCATAAAGGATATTGGTCTGGTTTTCTTGTATCTTTTTCTGCCTTTGTTATCAGGGTAATGCTGGCTATAAGGATGAATTAGGAAGTATTCTCTTTTCTTTAAATTTCTGGAAGAGTTTGAGAGGATTGGTGTTAATTCTTCCTTAGATGTTTCAGTAGAATTCATCAGTCAAGCTATGTGGTCTTGGACTTTTTGGTTGTTGTTGGAAGCTTTTGGTTACTTATTCAGTCTCCTTACTAATTATAGGTCTATTGAAGTTTTCTATTTCTTTGTCAGTTTGGGTAGATTGTGTGCTTCTGTGAATATATTCATTTTATCTAGGTGATCCAACTTTTTGGCATATCATTTTTCATTGTATTCTCATAATTATTTCTGTAGAATCAATAGTAATGTCCTCACTTTAATTTCTGATCATAGTAATTTGTGTACTCTTTCTTATTTTCTTAATCAATACAGCTAAAGGTTTGTCAATATTGTTGATCTTTTTAAAGAACTAAAATTTTGTTTTGTTGATTTCCTTTATTTTTTTTTTCTGTTTTATTTATCACCACTCTTATTTTTAGTATTTCCTTCCTTCTGGTAGCTTTGGGTTTAGTTTGTTCTTAAGTTCCTTAGGTGTAAAGTTACGCTGTTGAAATGAGATCTTCTTATTTAATGTATGCATTTATAGCTCTAAATTTTCTCTTAGCACTGTTTTCACTGCATGCTCTAAGTTTTGATATGTTGTCTCTATCTCAATGAATTTTCTGATTCCTTTCCCCATTTTTCAGGAGTATGTTGCCTAATTTCCACATATCTTTTAGTTTTCCTTCTGTTATTGATTTTTATCTCTTAAGTTATTTCTTCTTTCAGCTAAATTCTGCTTTTGAACCCTCCCATGAATTTTTCATTTTGGTTATTCTTTTTAGCTCCAGAGTTTCTGGTTGGTTCTTTTCTCTTCGTTGGTCTCATTCAGTTTATACATTGTTTTCCTAATTTTCTTCTAAAGATGATTGTTTTAAAGTCTTCTGTTAATGTCACTCATCTCATCTGGGTCACCGGAATTGTCATTGAGCAGTGGGCTTGCTGCCCAGTGTGCATAGAAGCAAATATTATGGCACCAGCCTTTGATAAAAGAAAAAGCTTTATTGCAAGGTTGACTAGCAAGGAGAGAGGAGGCAGTGCTCGAATCTGTCTCCTTAAGCTAGGGTCTGGGGACAGGTTTTATAGGCAGAGTGACTATGAGGGGAGACAGGAAAATACAATGAGGCATGATCTCATTGGGCTGTTCAGGAGGTAGTGCAGGGACCTTGACCCTTAAATTAACTCTGCAGCAAAACAGGGCACTCCTTGCTTCTTAATTTGCTCTGCCCTGGGTTCAGTTACTGAGGTTCTGTAACTGACCAGAGGGTTCCTGTTGCCTGCTGCCCAGATAGAGCCTATTTATCAAGACAAGGGAATTGCAATAGAGACAGAGTGTAATACACGTAGAGCTGGCTAAATAGGAGACTGGAGTTTTACTATTACTCAAATTAGCCTCTCCATAAATTTGGAGCGTAGTGTTTGTTTGTTTTGAGATGGAGTTTTGCTCTGTTGCCCAGGTTGGAGTGCCGTGGCGCAATCTTGGCTTACTGCAACCTCTGCCTCCTGGGTTCAAGCGTTTCTCCTGTCTCAGCCTTCTGAGGAGCTGGGACCAGGCACGTGCCACCATGCCCGGCTAATTTTTTGTATATTGTTTTAGTAGAGATGGGGTTTCACTGTGTTAGCCAAGATGGTCTTGATCTCCTGACTTTGTGATCCGCCCACCTCAGCCTCCCAAAGTGCTGGGATTACAGTTGTGAGCCACTGCGCCTAGCTGGGTAGTGTTTTTTTGAAAGTAGTTTGGTGGGCAGGGAGCTAGGGAATGGGTGCTGCTGATTGGTTCGGGATGAAATATAGGGGTGTGGAAAATGGTCCTCATGTGCTGAGTCTGCCACAGGACCATTGAATCATGAGTCTTGGATCTGGGTGGAGCCATCTTGTTGTGAGAAATGCAAAAGTCTGAAAAGACATTTGCAATCCGAAAAGGCCAATCTTAGGTTCTACAATAGTGATGTTACTTATAGGAGTAATTGGGGAAGTTGCAAATCTTGTATCCTCCGAATAATGGCTGGTAATTGTTTAACTATACCTACATCTTAGCAGAATTCATGCCTCTGTCATCCTTCTAACCTGGTGGATGGCCTTTTATTAGTTTTACAAGTGGTTTAGGTTTGGGGAGGCTATTATCATTTAAACTGTAAACTAAATTTCTTTCAAAATTAGCTCGGGCCATGCCTAGGAATGACCAAGGGCAGTTTGGAGGTTAAACTAGAGGTAAATTTGGCTCCTGGATACACCAATCAGGCATGCTGGATTAATCTGCACATGCTCAGGCTTTGTGATTTGCAATCTGGGATGTAGATTGCAGTTTGTGATTACAGAAAGCCCATTGTCAGCCGGGCGCGGTGGCTCATGCCTGTAATCCCAGCACTTTGGGAGGCCGAGGCAGGCGTATCACCTGAGGTTGGGAGTTCAAGACCAGCCTGACCAATACGGAGAAACCCCGTCCCTACTAAAAATACAGAAATTAGCCAGTCGTGGTGGCACATGCCTGTAATCCCAGCTACTCGAGAGGCTGAGGCAGGGGAATCACTTGAACCTGGGAGGTGGTGGCTGCAGTGAGCCGAGATCGCACCCTTGCACTCCAGCCTGGGCAACAAGAGTGAAACTCCATCTCAAAAAAAATAAAATTAAATTTAAAAAGTCCATAAGTCCATTGTCTGGGCTTGTTTGTCATCTTAATTGTTCCTTTGAATGGGCCATTGTTTTCTCTTTTGTTGAAAATCAGACATTTGACTATTATGTGGTAACTCTGGGAATCAGATTTCTCCCTTCTTCTGGGTTTGTTGTTTTTCGTTTTATTTATTGATTGATTGAGTACTTGTTGAAGGCTGTAGTAGTCCATTTGTCCTGAGACTTTCCAAACAATTTTTGCAAAGACTAGTCCTTGTTGTGTGTGATTATTGAATTCTGTTCCTTTAGTGTGTGTTCAGCTTAAGTTACAGAGATTTCCTCAGGAGTTCTCCCAGTTTTTGCAGTTAGCTCTGTGATGGGTTACTCTTTCATCTCTTAAGTAGGCTTCTTTTGAACATAGGGATCATCTTCTTAGGTATTTTCTGAGCATGAATCTTGCTTGGTCATGTACGTGACTTTCTAAATTCCCCTGTATACACAACTGCTTTTGAATATTCTTTTTTTTTTTTTTTTTTTTGAGATGGAGTCTTGCTCTGTTGCCCAGGCTGGAGTGCAGTGGCGCCATCTCGGCTCACTGCAAGCTCCGCCTCCCAGGTTCACACCATTCTCCTGCCTCAGCCTCCCGAGTAGCTGGGACTACAGGCGCCCACCACCATGCCCAGCTAATTTTTTGTATTTTTAGTAGAGACGCGGTTTCACCGTGTTAGCCAGGATGCTCTCGATCTCTTGACCTCGTGATCCGCCTACCTTCGCCTCCCAAAGTGCTGGGATTACAGGCGTGAGCCACCACGCCCAGAGCTTTTGAATATTCTTATTTCCCAAAGAGCCTCACCTTATCTTCTCTTTAGGGCCTTACCTAGTCTTTTGTATTGTCCCAGGGGTCTGTGAGTCTGTAGCGGCCTTGGAACTTTAAGAGCAGGGCCTGCTGCTCTTTTTCACCTGAGTTTTGTGTTAGGCTAAATAGAAATGAAAGTCTTACTCAGGCCTTTAGGTATCCCCCAGAAGGGTTAGAACTACAAAGCTACAGAACTTTCCTGCTCTTTGACTGTTTTCCAGCACTTCAACAAAGTTTGTTCAGGCAGTTTCTCTTTGTTTTTTGATGTTTCTCTGTGGGGAACAAAACCTCAGAGCTTCCTATTTCACTATTTTCCTTGAACTTAATAATTTATAATGTGAAAAGCAACTGTGTTAAGTTTGGCTAGAACTAGGTGATATAACAAACCCTCAAGTTAAGTGGCTTAACCCAATAAAGTTTATTTCTAGTTTACCTGACAGTCCAGAGTGGGTATACATGATTAGTATCAGTGAAGAGGTGGTAGAGGTATAGGAGTGTTTGTGTGTTGGGGCTGGGGGACATTCTGCTTCACGTAGTCTTTCAGAGACAGAGTTGAATGTCTTTAACATGTTGCCCTGGAGAACCTTAGGGGGAAGGGGAAAGGGAAGGACTGAGTTGGAGGCTGTTATGAGCTAGACTTGGAAGTACAATGGTACACCTGTTTTGACTTACATGTCTTGGGCTAGATCTCAGTCATACGGCCATATTTAATTGAAAGAGAGGCTGAGAAATGTAAAGTAGTTATATGTTATAGGAAGAGGATGGAACTGGAAAGTGATTTTGGCGAATAGCTAGTAATTTAACCCATATCAATTGCACACAGAACTTCCTCGAGCTTCCATGTTCTGTTGAAGCAGCTGTAAGATACACATTTTATATTCCATTGAGGAGGAATGAAAAGAGAAAGCATTGCCAATTAAACTATTACACAGTGCTTTCTTAGAATAAAGTATTATTTCTTTCAATAAATGCAAATATAAAACTCAGTAAATATAAAAATTATTTTACATTTACTCAGTTTTATCATGTATCATCTTTGAACATACGTTGAAAGTATAAGTGAAATAAATTGATTAAATTATTCCTAAAATGTCTTTGTACTCAGAGCCCAATTCTTTTTTTTTTTTTTTTAATTATACTTTAAGTTCTGGGATACGTGTGCAGAACATGCAGTTTTGTTACAGAGGTATACATGTGCCATGGTTTGCTGCACCCATCAACCCGTCATCTACATTAGGTATTTCTCCTAATGCTATCTTTCCCGTAGCCCTCCCCCACCCACCGACAGGCCCTGATGTGTGATGTTCCCCTCCCTGTGTCCACGTGTTCTCATTTTTCAACTTCCACTTATGAGTGAGAACATGTGGTGGTTGGTTTTCTGTTCCTGTGTTAGTTTGCCGAGATTGATGGTTTCCAGCTTCATCCATGTCCCGGCAAAAGAGATGAACTCATTCTTTTTTATGGCTGCATCATATTCCATACTGTATATGTGCCACATTTTCTTTATCCACTCTGTCGTTGATGGGCATTTGGGTTGGTTCCAATATTGTGACTAGTGCTGCAATAAACCTATGTGTGCATGTGTCTTTATAGTAGAATGACTTATAATCCTTTGGTATATACCCAGTAATGGGATTGCTGGGCCAAATGATATTTCTGGTTCTAGATCCTTGAGGAATCGCCACACTGTCTTCCACAATGTAAAAGTCTTCCTATTTCTCCATGTCCTCTCCAGCATCTGTTGTTTCCTGACTTTTTAATGATCACCATTCTAACTGGCGTGAGATAGTATCTCATTGTGGTTTTGATTTGCATTTCTCTAGTGACCAGTGATGATGAGCTTTTTTTCATATGTATGTTGGCTGCATAAATGTCTTCTTTGGAGAAGTGTCTGTTCATATCCTTCGCCCTTTTTGATGGGGTTGTTTCTTTCTTGTAAATTTGTTTAAGTTCCTTGTAGATTCTGGATATTAGCCCTTTGTCAGATGGATAGATTGAAATAATTGTTTCCCATTCTGTAGGTTGTCTGTTCACTCTGATGATAGTTGCTTTTACTGTGCAGAAGTTCTTTAGTTTAATTAGATCCCATCTGTCAATTTTGGCTTTTGTTGCCATTGCTTTTTATGTTTTAGTTATGAAGCCTTTGCCCATGCCTATGTCCTGAATGGTATTCTTCTAGGTTTTATTCTAGGGTTTTTATGGTTTTAGGTCTTACATTTAAGTCTTTAATCTATCTTGAGTTAATTTCTGTATAAGGTGTAAGGAAGGGGTCCAGTTTCAGTTTTCTGCATATGGCTTGCCAGTTTTCCCAACACTGTTTATTAAATAGGGAATCCTTTCCCCATTGCTTGTTTAGTCAGGTTTGTCAAAGATCAGATGGCTGTAGATGTGTGGCATTATTTCTGAGCCCTCTGTTCTGTATTATTGGTCTATATATCTGTTTTAGCACCAGTATCATGCTGTTTTGGTTACTGTAGCCTTCTAGTATAGTTTGAAGTCAGGTAGTATGATGCCTCCAGCTTTGTTCTTTTTGCTTAGGATTGTCTTGGCTATGCGGGCTGTTTTTTGATTCCATATGAAATTTAAAGTAGTTTTTTCCAATTCTGTGAAGAAAGTCAGTGGTAGCTTGATGGGGATGGTATTGAATCTATAAATTACTTTGGGTAGTATGGCCATTTTCACGATACTGATTCTTCCTATCCATGAGCGTGGAATGTTTTTCCATTTGTTTGTGTCCTCTCTTATTTCCTTGAGCAGTGGTTTGTAGTTTTCCCTGAAGAGGTCCTTCACATCCCTTGTAAGTTGTATTCCTAGGTATTTTATTCTCTTTGTAGCAGTTGTGAATGGAAGTTCACTCATGATTTGGCTATTATTGGTGTATAGGAATGCTTGTGATTTTTGCACATTGATTTTGTATTCTGAGACTTTGCTGAAGTTGCTTATCAGCTTTAGGAAATTTGGGGGCTGAGATGATGGGGTTTTCTAAATGTACAATCATGTCATCTGCAAACAGAGACAATTTGACTTCCTCTCTTCCTATTTGAATACCCTTTATTTCTTTCTTTTGCGTGATTGCCCTGGCCAGAACTTTCAATACTATGTTGAATAGGAGTGGTGAGAGAGGGCATCCTTGTCTTGTGCTGGTTTTCAAAATGCTTCCAGCTTTTGCCCATTCAGTATGATATTGGCTGTGGGTTTGTCATAAATAGCTCTTACTATTTTGAGATACATTCCATCAGTACCTAGCTTATTGAGAGTTTTTAGCATGAAGTGGTGTTAAATTTTCTGTATCTATTAAGATAATCATGTGGTTTTTGTTGTTGGTTCTGTTTATGTGATGGATTATGTTTATTGATTTGCATATGTTGAACCAGCCTTGCATCACAGGGATGAAGCTAACTTGATCGTGGTGGATAAGCTTTTTGATATGCTGCTGAATTCGGTTCGCCAGTACTTTATTGAGGATTATCACATTGATGTTCATCAGGGATATTGCCTGAAATTTTCTTTTTTTGTTGTGTCTCTGCCAGGTTTTGGTATCAGGATGATGACTGTCCTCATAAAATGAGTTAGGGAGAGTCCCTCTTTTTCTGTTGTTTGGAATAGTTTCTGAAGGAATGGTACCAGCTCCTCTTTGTGACTCTGGTAGAATTCAATTGTTAATTGTCTGGTCCTGGGCTTTTTTTGGTTAGTAGGCTATTAATTACTGCCTCAGTTTCTGAACTTGTTATGGTTTATTCAGGGATTTGACTTCTTTCTGGTTTGGTCTTGGGACAGTGTATGTGTCTAGGAATTTCTCCATTTCTTCTAGATTTTCTAGTTTATTTGCATAGAGGTGTTTATAGTATTCTGTGATAGTAGTTTGTATTTCTGTGGGATCACTGGTGATCTCCCCTTTATCATTTTTATTGTCTGTTTGATTCTTCTCTCTTTTCTTCTTTATTTGTCTGGGTAGCGTTCTATCTATTTTGTTAGTCTTCAAAACACCAGCTCCTGGATTCATTGATGTTTTGACGGGTTTTTCGTGTCTGTATCTCCTTCAGTTCTGCTCTGATCTTAGTTATTTCTAGTCTTCTGCTAGCTTTTGAATTTGTTTGCTCTTGCTTCTCTAGTTCTTTGATTTTAGATCTTTCCCACTTTCTCCTGTGGGCATTTAGTGCTATAAATTTCCCTCTAAACACTGCTTTAGCTGTGTCCCAGGTATTTTGGTATGTTGTGTCTTTGTTCTCATTGGTTTCAAAGAAGTCATTTATTTCTGCCTTAATTTTGTTATTTACCCAGTAGTCATTCAGGAGCAGGTTGTTTAGTTTCCATGTAGTTGTGTGGTTTTGAGTGAATTTCTTAATCCTGAGTGTTAGTTTGATTGCACTGTGGTCTGAGAGACTGCTTGTTATGATTTCCATTCTTTTGCATTTGCTGAGGAGTGTTTTACTTTCAATTATGCGGTCAATTTTAGAATAAGTGGGATGTGGTGCTGAGAAGAATGTATATTCCGTTTATTTGGGGTGTAGAGTTCTGTAGATGTCTATTAGGTCCACTTGGTCCAGAGCTGAGTTCAAGCCCTGAATATCCTTGTTAATTTTATGTGTTGTTGATCTGTCTAATATTGACAGTGGGGTGTTAAAGTCTCCCACTATTACTGTGTGGGAGTCTAAGTCTCTTTATAGGTCTCTAAGAACTTGCTTTATGAATCTGGGTGCACCTGTATTGGGTTCATATATATTTAGCATAGTTAGCTCTTCTTGTTGCATTGATCCCTTTACCATTATGTAATGCCCTTCTTTGTCTTTTTTGATCTTTGTTGGTTTAAAGTCTGTTTTATCAGAGACTAGGATTGCAACCCCTGTTTTATTTTTTTGCTTTCCATTTGCTCGTTAAATCTTCCTCCATCCTTTTGAGTCTATGTGTGTCTTTGCATGTGAGATGGGTCTCCTGAATACAGCACACTGATGAGTCTTGACTCTTTATCCAATTTGCCAGTCTGTGTCTTTTAATCGGGGCATTTAGCCTGTTTACATTTAAGGTTAATATTGTTATGTGTAAATTTGATCCTGTCATTATGATGGTAGCTGGTTATTTTGCCTGTTAATTGATGCAGTTGCTTCATAGTGTTGATGGTCTTTACAATTTGGTATGTTTTTGCAGTGGTTGGTACCGGTTTTTCCTTTTCCATATTTAGTGCTTCCTTCAGGAGTTCTTGTAAGGCAGGCCTGATGGTGATAAAGTCTCTCAGCATGTGCTTGTCTGTAAAGGATTTTATTTCTCCTTCACTTATGAAGCTTAGTTTGGCTGGATATGAAATTCCAGGTTGAAAATTCTTTTCTTTAAGAACGTTGAATATTGGCCCCCACTCTCTTCTGGCTTGTAGGGTTTCTGCAGAGAGATCTGCTGTTAGTCTGATGGGCTTCCCTTTGTGGGTAACCTGACCTTTCTCTCTGGCTCCCCTTAACATTTTTTCATTCATTACAACCTTGGTAAATCTGACAATTATGTGTCTTGGGACACATAATAAGAGCACCTGGGGGAAGGGGCGGCTGTGAGTGCAGCTTTAGCAGAAGTAAATATTCCTGCCTGCTGACTCTAAAGACAGCAGTGGATCTCCCAGCACAGCGCTCACGCTCTGCTAAGGGACAGACTGCCTCCTCAAGTGGGTCCCTGACCCTTGTGCCTCCTGACTAGGTGACACCTCCCAGCAGGGGTCGACAGACACCTCATACAGGAGAGTCCTTTTCCAAGTTGTTCCATTCTCCCTTCACTTTCAGGTACACCAATCAAACGTAGGTTTGGTCTTTTCACATAGTCCCATATTTTTTGGAGGCTTTGTTCATTCCTTTTCATTCTTTTTTTCTCTCATCTTGTCATCACTCTTTATTTCATTAAGTTGATCTTCAATCTCTGATATCCTTTCTTCCGCTTGATCGATTCGGCTATTGATACTTGTATATGCTTCACGAAGTTCTCGTGCTGTGTTTTTCAGCTCCATCAGGTCATTTCTGTTTTTCTCTAAACTGGTTATTCTAGTTAGCAATTCCTCTAACCTTTTTTCAAGTTTCTTAGCTTCCTTGCATTGGGTTAGAGCATGCTTCTTTAGCTTGGAGGAGTTTGTTATTACCCACCTTCTGAAGCCTACTTCTGTCAATTTGTCAAACTCATTCTCTGTCCCATTTTGTTCCCTTGCTGACGAGGAGTTGTGATCCTTGGGAGGAGAAGAGGCATTCTGGTTTTCGGAATTTTCAGCCTTTTTGCATTGGTTTTTCCTCATCTTCGTGATGTGGACGTCCTTTTTGTTGATGTTGATGCTGTTCCTTTCTGTTTGTTAATTTTCCTTCTAACAGTCAGGCCCCACTGCTGCAGGTCAGCTGGAGTTTCTTGGAGGTCCACTGCACACCCGGTTTGCCTGGGTATCACCAGCAGAGGCTGCAGAACAGCAAAGATTGCTGCCTGTTCCTTCCTCTGGAAGCTTTGTCCCAGAAGGGCACCTGCCAGATGCCAGCCGGAGCTCTCCTGTATGAGGTGTCTGTCGACCCCGGCTGGGAGGTGTCACCTAGTCAAGAGGTAAAAGGGTCAGGGACCCACTTGAGGAGGCAGTCTGTCCCTTAGCAGAGTGTGAGGGCTGTGCTGGGAGATCCGCTGCTCTCTTTAGAGCCAGCAGGCAGGAATGTTTACTTCTGCTGAAGCTGCGCTCACAGCCGCCCCTTCCCCCAGGTACTCTATCCCAGGGAGTTGGGAGTTTTACCTGTAAGCTCCTGACTGGGGCTGATGCCTTTCTTTCAGAGATGCCCTGCCCAGAGAGGAGGAATCTAGAGAGGCAGTATGGCTACAGCGGCTCTGCGGAGCTGCAGTGGACTCCGCCTAGTTTGAAGTTCCTGGCGCTTTGTTTACACTGTAAGGGGAAAGCTGCCTCCTCAAGCCTCAGTAATGGCAGCTACTCTCCCTCCCCACCCGCCCACCAAGCTTGAGCATCCCAGGTCCACTTCATACTGCTGTGCTGGCAGCAAGAATTACAAGCCAGTGGATCTTAGCTTGCTGGACCCCGTGGGGGTGGGATCTGCTGAGCTAGACCACTTGGTTCCCTGGCTTCAGCCCCCTTTCCAGGGGAATGAACAGTACGGTCTTGCTGGCGTTCCAGGCGCCACTGGGGTATGAAAAAAAACTCCTGCAGCTAGCTCGGTGTCTGCCCAAACAGCCACCCAGTTTTGTGCTTGAAACCCAGGGCCCTGGTGGTGTAGGCAACCAAGGGAATCTGCTGGTCTGCAGGTTGCGAAGACCATGGGAAAAGCGTAGTATCCAGGCTGGAATGCACCATTCCTCATGGCACAGTCCCTCATGGCTTCCCTTGGCTAGGGAAGGGAGTTCTCCGACCCCTTGTGCTTTCTGGGTGAGGTGATGCCCCACCCTGCTTCTGCTCGCCCTCCCTCTGTCAACCAGTCCCAGTGAGATGAGCCAGGTACCTCAGTTGGAAATGCAGAAATCAACCGTCATTGATCTCGCTGGGGGCTGCAGACCGGAGCTGTTCCTATTCGGCTGTCTTGCTCCAGAGCCCAATTCTTCTCAATCATTTTTTTCTTACCCAGAGTTGTCTGTTTTTCCACAGAGTATCTTTTCTGTGCAGTTAGGAAAGTTGATGATATAGCATACTTCATCCACTGTACTTTGATCTGGGATTTTCTTCTTAACCATTGATACTGGTTTCTGTAAGTGTTAATGCTGGCACTTTCTTCATGTTACCGGATGATGTTAATGAAAGGTTTTCAGACAGTTGCTAGCTCATATTCTTTCTTCAACTGTTCGTTAAATGGATTGTTGCCTGGAATGTTGAGAGGTTGCAATTGTCCAGTTATATCACTGGAAAAAACAACTAAGTTCTTATACAGGCAGAGAGAACTGTCATTGTCACCACCTCTTCAGTAGCAACTATAAATGTCTTTAATTGTAAGCCATCTGCCAATTTCAGAGAAGTTAACATGTTAGGGGAAAAAACGCATCATAGAATTGAACATATATAGTATGTTGAATTTGTTTTGAAATTCAGGTTTTTGTGTCTTGTAATATTTGAGGCTTTCCTCCTTCCCCCATCATGCCTAGCCTAGTCAAAATACTTTTTATTGAATTTATTAAAATAATTACAGTTTATCATGATCCATAGTTTAGAAAAAGAAAGGATATGGGGGCAAGATGGGTAACTTCAGTGACTTTAAGGGCTGAAAGCAACAATTTGGAGCATCGTGTCAAAGTTGTGGGAATCTGATTTTAGAACAATATAAGAAAAAATTTAAAAAATTTTAATTACTTCTGAATGAAGTGGACTCTGACAGTGAATTTGCTGTCATTGAAAGTATTCAGAGAGGTTCTAGATACAAATCACCCAGACACAGTAAAAGCAATTTCTTCACTGGGTGGTAATTGAAGAATATGTTGTTTAATGTGTTTTTCTGACTATTGATATTCCTATTCTAAAATAATTTACCTTTGTACTAAGTGGCCTTCTCTTTTCAGATACTCAACAATGTAATTTATCGATACTTTCTGTTATTGATTGGAACACCATTGAGTTTCTTTCTTAATGTAAGACAGGCAACTAAATGCAAATTACTGTTCTGTTTCTAATTAAGTGATGAAATACACTAAGCCAGGTCATTCTTTGAAACACTGATTGACACAGTGGGAGGAGGGAGCTAAGAAATAGTACTTTTTTTCCTTGCAGATTTTACTTGCAAAGTATTGTAACCTGATTTTCCTTCAGGTCACCTAGATTGGAGTACAGTGATGCGATCTTAGCTCACTGCAGCCTCCAACTCCAGGGCTTAAACCATCCTTCCACTCCTAGCTCAGCCTCTGGAGTAGCTAGGACTACGGAAACTTGCTACCACTTGTGGCTATTTTTTTATTTTTTGTAGAGACAGGATCTTGCTATGATGCCCAGGCTGGTCTCAAATGCCTAGGCTCAAACCATCCATCTGCTTCAGCCTCCCAGTGTGCTGGGGTTATAGGCATGAGTTACTGTGCCCAGCCTATACTCTTCTAATTTTTGATTCTTTCAGGGTTTAGTTGGTGAAAGAGCCATTATGAATTTTATTTTTTAATTTAATTTCTTTTTTTTTGAGATGGAGTCTTGTGGTGATGCCCAGGCTGACGTGCAGTGGCGTGATTTCGGCTAGCTGCAACCTCTGCCTCCCGGGTTCAAGCGATTCTCCTGACTTAGCCCCACTGAGTAGCTAGGACTACAGGCACACACCACCATGACCAGCTAATTTTTGTATTTTTAGCAGAGACAGAGTTTTCCAGTGTTGGCCAGGCTGGTCTCGAACTCCTGACCTCAGAGGATCTGCCTGCCTTGGCCTCCCAAAGTGCTGGGATTACAGGTATGAGCCAGAATTTTATTTTTAATCAAAAAAAGGTTTTAAGGAAATGGCTCACCTTCCTTCCCTCCCTCCCTCCCTCCAAAGGACTTGTGGTCAGACTCTTTGGAATTGCCAGTACTTAATCAGCTGAATGAAGAATTTTCTGATCTTTCTGTTTAGTAGTTCAAATGGTCATTACCAGGATTCTTTGTATACTTTTGGGGAGCAAATTAAATAGATGAAAGACAGCCAACTTTTAGGATGAGAGATAGGCATAGATATATCGTTTTCTTATCTTCTTCCACATACTCAAATTTAGATATCAGGTTATCCATGATTTGCTTTTTAGTTCACCAGACATAGTGAAGTTAACACTCCTAATTTAGTTTTGGCTATATATAACTTGCTAACAGCTCTAGCCTGGGATTTTAAAGACAGCTTAACTATGTTCATGGAATGCTATGACTGGCTAAATATGACTCTTTAATGTTTCATAAAACATGTCTTTTTCCTAAATAGGGTTGTAACATTCTCTTAAATATTTCATGCATGTCTTTCTCTCTCTGTGAGACAGATCTCTCTAGATTTCTCTGGTTTTATTTCTGACATGCTATATGAAGTACTTTTTATTTAAAAGTAAGTACAATATGTAGTATCTCAGTGTGCATATGGCTTGGATGCTTACTTTGACGATGAAAAATTGCTTAAATATGCTGACATCTGAATTGTATCTGTAAATTAATGTTAGCAACTTGAGACTCAGTAATTGTTTCTTAAAATGGATTCTAATTAGTTACAAGTAAAAAGTAACTTTCCCTTAAATGTTGGTTGTATTAATTACAAATACTTTAAAAAGATATATTAAAATGATAAATCTAATTTTTTTCCTGGACATTGATTTATGTTGTGTGATGACATAACAGTACTGGAAATCAGTAGAGGTGACACTGCTGTACATTTGTAGCTATTTATATTTTGTTGTATTTTTATAAAACAAAGAAATACATCAGATCATAGTCATTATAAAGCATTAAAAAGATATGAAAACATACAGTTAAAAAATGATAGCTTCTCCTTCCCTAAACACCCAATTCCTAATGAATAAATACTGTTAAAAATTAGGTGATTATCTTCCCACACTTTATGCATTTTTAGTTTATTTAATGCACCATTGTGTCAGACATTGTTCTAAGGATTAACAAATAGAAGAGAGTTTATATGAAGAGGCAAAAACACTATGAAGTAAATAATAATATTGGGAATTGAGGCCTAGAGAGGTTAACTAATTGTATGGTTAACCTAGACAGTCTGGCATTAAGATCTGTGCTCTTAGTCATGTTGCGTCTTATGCTTTTACAAATATACTATTAATATATGTACTCATATATAGTATTTTGTTAGCTTTTAGTGTAAAAATTTATTATTGTACATGGTGCTTTGAGGCTTGTTTTTTTCTCACTTAAAACTATTTTTTGATGATCTCATTATTTTTTAAATGGCTGTGTATGTTTTACTATAACTTATTTAAATTTATTTACTATAAATTATTTTGTCTTTAATGAACTATTAGTTTTTTTCCAAAATTGCAAGCAAGGTTGCAGTGAATATGTTTGTTACCCTTGTGTGTATGTGTGAGGATTTTTTGTGAGATTCCTACAAATGATGTTGGGTCTGAGGCAGTGCATATTTAACACTTAAGTAAAACTTCCAAATGACCCTTCAAAATGGCCGAAAAGGTTTATACCCACATCAGTTTTATATGAGTACCTGTTTTCTCATAACTTTGCCAACAAAAGGTACAAATAATCCCTGAAATATTTGCCAGTGGGGGGTAAAGACTAGTAACGCCTTGCTGTTACTATTTGCATTTCTTAACATTTTTTATTTCTTAGCCATCTGAATTTTTTGGGTCAATTACCTGTTCATAACCTTTGCCCATTTTTTTCTATTGCATTGCCTGTTTTTGTATTTTAACTTTGTAAATGTTAACAGTATTTTTAAGTTTGTTGTTGAGCACTATATAAGTTGGCTGTGGAACCACTATAGTGATTGAGAATGCAGACTTGCACCAGACAGGCTAAATTCTAGCTCTGCCACTTCTTTGGGAATATGCCTAATCTTTGTACATCAGTTTCTTCATTGGTAAAGTGGGATTAGTGGTGGTACACCTCAAGAGATTATTGTGAGGATTAAATAAATTATTAATTACAAACAGCATATAACTTTCTGATCTTTAGTAAGTGCTAGCTTTTATAATTATTATTGCTCTAATGATTTATGCTATCTTGTTATTAGCACAATTTTCAATTTTTAGTCACCTGTTTTAAAAAACTGTCTTTTTACTAAATTAAGACTCTCTTCATTCTAATATTTATAAGAAGAAAGTAGAGTTTAAATTTCTTCAGAAGCTTGGTTTTTCTTTTTTTTTTTTTTTTAACTTTTGGTATATTTTCTATATGGAATTTCTTTTTGTGTGGTAGGCGGTAAGTTGTCTTAGTTTTTTTCCCCCCAGATATCTATCTAGTTATCTTCACTGATTAAAAATTCTGTGTTAGTCATGTATTAAAGTTTTCATGTATGTAGAAATCTTTTTCTAGATTCTTTATTTCATTATTCCCCTTGCGATCTGTTTATTAACTCTTGTGTCAGTATGCCACTGTTACAGTTACAATAGTTTCTTTATATATTTTGATAATTTTGGAAAAATCCCCTCTCATCCTTCTGTTTTAGATTTGTCATAGCTGTTTTGATACACTTTTCCAGACTGATTGTAGATTCTATTCTATTCATAGAATATTCATAGCATTCTATTCATAGAATATTCATAGCATTCTATTCATATTCTATTAAAACATCCTGTTGGGTTTTGAAAGGGCTAATATCTTTACAGTGTTGAGTGTTCTTATGCAAGGATATATCTTTCCCAAAAAATTAATGAACGTGATACATGCACATGGAGAAAGAATCAAACAGTACAGAAGAGCATAAAATGAAATACAAGTCTTTCTTTCAAGCTCACACCCCAAATCCATAACCACCATTAGTATTCATGTATGGATGTGTATGTGCTTCATGGCCTTATTCAATCAAGCACCCTAGTCTTGATTTACTGCTATATTCCAGAAAACCTTTCAATTTATATAAATGTGTGTGTAGAATTTACCTTTCCTTTTATCACACAGAATGATGCTCTAGTATTCTTCACTCTTTTGTATCTTTTACTTTTTTCCACTTTGTAATGTATCATGGAAATCCTTTCATAAGAAATTCTATTGATCTACCTCACCTATTTTTATTTTATTTATTTATTTATTTATTTATTTGAGATGGAGTCTCGCTCTGTCGCCCAGGCTGGAGTGCAGTGGCGCTATCTTGGCTCACTGCAAGCTCCGCCTCCAGGGTTCACGCCATTCTCCTGCCTCAGCCTCCCGACTAGTTGGGACTACAGGCGCCCGCCACCACACCAGGCTAATTTCTTTTTGTATTTTTAGTAGAGACGGGGTTTCACCATGTTAGCCAGGATGGCTACGATCTCCTGACCTTGTGATCCGCCCGCCTCAGCCTCCCAAAGTGCTGGGATTACAGGCGTGAGCCACCGCGTCCAGCCCCTACTTCACCTATTTTTAAAGGCTTCATTGTCTGTCATTGTATGGAAGTACTGTGGTTTTATTTAATCACCCCCTATTCATAAGCATTTTGATTATAATAATTTTCATTTTGCTAGTGTAACTAATACAGTATGTTCTTAGAGATTTATTTTTGTATTCTTGTGTTTATGTCTGTAAGAATAATTTCCAGCCATGGAATTGCTAGGGTATGCAATTTCAAATTGACAGACGTTTTTAGTTTCCACTTTAAAAATGTTGAACCAACGTTATATTCCCACTTTTAGTGTATGCAAATGCATATTTCTCAGCACCAACACTGGATTATATCAACTGCATTATTTTTGCCAGTATGAATGTTTTGCTATTTTTAAAATCATGAGTGAGATTAAACCTGTTTTAACATTCGTCAGCCGTTTATTATAACAAATAACATTTATTGAGCACTTACATGGGCTAGGCACTGTTCTAAGTGGGTTGCATATTCATTTAATGAATTGTTTCCTCACATCATTTGCTCATTTAAAAAAATGTTTTTTCTTAGTGAACTAAGAGTTCATTGTACATTAAGAAAATTACCTTTAATCATATGTATTGCAGATTTTTTCCATTTTACTTATTGTCTTGATGTGTATGTATACATTTTATACACAGTTTTACATTTTTATGTGCTTAGATTATGTTTTATGATTTTTTTCTTCTTGGTCTTAATCGGTTTTGGTTAAGCTTATTGCTTAACCATGAATATGATCATTTTTACCATATAATTTCCTAATTGGTTATTGCTCAGTTATAGGTAAGTGTTGATTTTCAAATACTGGTGTTGAACTCTGTTATTCATCAGTCTTTTAAGGCATACTCTTGGACTTTATAGGTAGATGATAAAAGCTTCTGCAAGTATTTTTATAGCTTTGTACTTGCTATTTCTCTTTCTTTTCCTTTGCATTAGCTAAGGTCACCAGTACAGTGTTAAACAATAGTGCTCATAGCAGGCATTCTTGCCTTGACTTTAATGCATTTTGTTATTCAGTGAGATTTATTCATGTATTAATTAATATGATAGTAATTTTACTGTTTAGGAGCACTTATTTTCAGGGAAAGTAGCCTACTAATTAGACATTAACAAGAAGGTAAAGATACCTAACTTTTATATCAGTATGTGGTCTTGTGCAAACAGTGTATTCTCAACTCTCCCATTTATATAGTGAGGATAATTATTAATCTGTAATGTAAAATTCCTGTAAATGACTAAGCAATATGTAAAATATCAGAGCCCACATATTAAAGTATCATCATATGACAGGTTGCCATTTGTTGAGTTATTTTCAAGTGCTTACGGATATTTTACACTGGGGCATGACTTCTGAGTTCGTGGAAAATTTTTTGTTCTGAATTTTTCAGAATGGCTGATCTGAATAATAACGTATATGGTTCATCAGCATAATATGAGTAAAGCCTATTCAAACCTTTACATTTCTTTCCTGTCGGTTCCCAAAATTATTCAGAGAAATGGAGGGGTAAAGTAGTATAGATAAACAAAATTGTTCATCACCAGCCCATGTTTGAAATATACCATTAAGATAGACAGCGGCTGGGCGCGGTGGCTGACGCCTGTAATCCCAACACTTTGGGAGGCCAAGGCGGGCGGATCACGAGGTCAGGAGATTGAGACCATCCTGGCTAACATGGTGAAACCCCGTCTCTACTAAAAATACAAAAAATTAGCCAGGCGTGGTGGCGGGTGCCTGTAGTCCCAGCTAGTCTGGAGGCTGAGGCAGGAGAATGGCGTGAATCCAGGAGGTGGAGCTTGCAGTGAGCCTAGATGGCGCCACTGCACTCCAGCCTGGGTGACAGAGCGAGACTCCGTCTCAAAAAAAAAAAAAAGCTAGCAGACAGCAGTTATTCAATAATGAATAAGACACGATTTCTGCCTTTTTGAATTGTATATGAGGTTAAGTAGCCTTTACTTGTCTTCCCAAGTGAGATTTACTGAAACTAACATTTTAGTAGTCTCCCATTCCTAGCACAATGCCTGGAATCTGTTGGGTTCTCAGTACATTTTTGCTTAGTGTACTTGAACTTCAGTGTTTATGAAACATAGATTCCTGCATATTCTGGTTCAGTAGGTATTAATTAGGACCCAGGAGTCTGCACTGTTAACAAGCACCTCAGGGTGTTTTCCGGTGGTTTCTCTTAATAAATACAAAGAAAATTTTCTGAAGAGAGATGTTATATTCATCTCATAGAAAATCAATTTTGGGTGGGAGGAAGTTTCACTGTAATCTTCATGCCTTATACAAAGGTAACTTTGCCTTTTACTTCAGACTTCAGCTTTTCATTTAAGAGGAATCTGTATATTTAGCACAGTCGTGGGTTGTTGGTATCCACTTAGTAAATATCTATTGATTACCTTATTTTTCCCTGCTCTGTCATCCAGGCTAGAGTGCCCTGCCGCAATCTTGGCTCACTGCCACCTCTGCCTCCCAGGCTCAAGCGATTCTCCCACCTCAGCCTCCCGAGTAGCTGGGACCACTGGTGTGCACCACCACGCCTAGCCACTTTTGTGTTTTTTGTAGAGACGGGGTTTTGCCATGTTTCCCAGACCATGTTGATTATTCAGCATTGATTACTTGCAGTAATTATGGAATTAGTTTTTAATTTACTAATCCAGCGTTTTGTGGTAAAGTTACAATTTTAAATGTAGTTTAAAAATAAAACGTTTTTAAACTGGTCTCTGTTTTTCCTCCTTGGGACCTTGTCATAGCTTAGGTGGAGCTTGAAATAATGAAGCGTGTCAGATGTGGCATAACATGGTTTTTTAATGACCAAAATGTAACTTTTATTTTAAAGGGTATTATATACCTGGTTATATTGAAAGGTAGCCTTGAGATGTATAAGAGCCTTCTTTGTATTGTTACACACTCTTCCAAAATATGGACAAATCATAAATGATGAAAACATGATTGCAATTTTGTAGAATTTACTAGTTTTGGCATCATTAATTTGGCCAAAATACATGTAATAATGGGAATTTAATGCATTATAGGTTTCTATAAAAATTCTACAATTATAGAAATATTTTTACAGTGTCCTATTCAGTAATTAATAAAGCCTTCTTTCATGCAATTATAAATGAATACCAATGTCCTATTCAGTAATTAGTAAAGGCTTCTTTCATGCAGTTATAAACAGATACCAATATTTTGTATTGGTGGACGTGAAAATATTTATTTGGTAATCTTAGTAAGGGATGCATATTTTTTGATTGAAGACTATGCATTTACCCAGCTCAAAGGAATGGATATTTTATTTTTGAATTTAACTCAGTGATGTCGCTAATCTATGTGAACACGCCAACTGTGTGTGTGTTGGTGGGGGGGGTAGTTAGTAACCATGGAGCTAAGGATTGATGAAGGTTGGTGATAAAGGGAAACATTCCCTTGGAATTAAGACATTGTTCCTTGCTGGGTGCAGTGGCTCATGCCTGTTACTCCAGCACCTTGGGAGGAGGCTGAGGCGGGTGGATGGTTTGAGCCCAGAATTTCCACACCAGCCTGTGCAATGTGGTCTCTACAAAAAAAAACCCCAAGAAAATTAGCCCAGCATGGTGGTGCGAGCCTGTAGCCTCGGCTACTCAGGAGGTTGAGGTGGGCGGATTGAGGCCAGAAGCGGGAGGCAGCAGTGAGCTTGTGAGGGTACGGGGGCGAGATAACTGTCTCAATTAAAAAACAAACAAACAAAAACCAGGCGCAGTGGCTCACGCCTATTATCCCAGCACTTTGGGAGGCCGAGGCAGTGGATCACTTCACGTCAGGAGTTTGAGACCAGCCTGGCCAATATGGTGAAACCCCGTCTCTACTAAAAATACAAAAATTATCTGGGTGTGGTGGTGGGTGCTAGTAGTCCCAGCTACTCAGGAGGCTGAGGCAGGAGAATTGCTTGAACCCAGGAGGCAGAGGTTGCAGTGAGCCGAGATCGTGCCACTGCACTCCAGCCTGGGCCACAGAGTGAGAGACTCCGTCTCAAAAAAAAAAAAAGATTCTGTGTATTAGACACATAAAGCACTTGTGTGCCAGGTATAGTTGTGTTTTACAAATATTGACTTATTTAATGACTACAATAACTCCATGAAGTAAGTACAATTATTATTTCTTTTTACAAATCAGGAAACTGAGGCACAGAGAAGTTAGAGAACTTGCCCAACGTCATACTGCTGTTGAGTGGCAAAGTTGGGATTTGAACCCAGACCTTCTATCCTCTTCACCTTTGTTAATGCTGCCTTTTGTTTCCTGAAAGCATTGCTGGTGTGTTTATGCGTTATGTCTTTACTACTAATTATATTTGATTTTTGGAAAGATGTGGTATTTTATGCTGTGCATTATGTCGTTTTTGTGGTTTATAATTCATAATGCCATGATGTTTTTAATTTAACAAACAAGTATTAGAAAAGGTAAAGTTGTTGTATATAATAACTTTGCTAATAATCACTGAACGTTGTCTCAGCAAGTATATGTGTAATGAATATAAATTTATACCATTAAAAAAAAGTAGCCATTCATTCATTCACATTTTCTTGTAATTCTGCTTGTTTCCATATTTGCACTTAAGATCTGTTGAACGTTAAAACAAATTTGCTTCCTTAGATTTTTTAACCAGTCACCATTTTTTTAAGTTGGTAGGATGGGCCATATTGAAGATAAACTATATTTTACAAATTTTATCAGCATGCTCTATGAACTTGCTTCTCAAACTGGAGTATTAACATATGTATGTGTTTTTACCAGGGTGTTTGTGAAGCTACACATAAAAGTATTACTCTTTTAAAGTACCATTTCTAGTTCTAAAGATTGGTGAGGGTGGAAATATTAAGTACTTTAAATTTTCAGCTTTTAAAAATTTTTTATGTTGAAACTAAATGATTTTTAAGAAGCAAAGAATTTCACATAAATTATGGTTGACCATCCTAGAGACCATGAAGGTTGTATTAATTCATTCCATGGAAAACTTTTAGGAGTACTTGATTATATTTGAAGTAAATTGGTATCTTGGAAAGTTGTGAAATTGGTGAACCTGCCATACCAAAATGGTAAACAAAAACAAAACTTTCCTGGGGTACTGAAAAGAATGATGTT
Organism: Homo sapiens; assembly: GCF_000001405.40. Lineage (NCBI taxonomy): Eukaryota > Metazoa > Chordata > Mammalia > Primates > Hominidae > Homo > Homo sapiens. The sequence continues at coordinate 253,013 of NW_025791811.1, forward strand.
ACCAAAGGCACGTCTTGTTTTAAATCTTATGTTTTATTTTTTTCTTTAATCTTAACAAACCCCACTTTTAAATAAATCCTTAGTAAAATTAGGATTTATTTGGGGCTGTTAATTTACAAAAGGATTGATTGTGATATTCCTTTAAATAGCTTGCTTCTTCAGTTTACAAATGTTCATTATATTCATAATGTTCAGGCCTGCATATAAATAAAGCAGGGAAAACCGGTGATAGATACTTAGTTTTTTAACTATAAAACATCCTGGTAAAAACATTAAAAGGTTGTAAATTGGGGAACCTGTATAGCCAGTGTGTTTTTTAGGTTGGCATATATAAGTGATATTGATATAATTGTCTTTTGTTTCATTCTAAATACTGAGCTTAGGGCTTGAATTTGCCATCTGTTTTTTTTTTTTTATTAAGTATGACCATTAAAACAGGAATAATTTGATTGAAGACTACGCATTTACCCAGCTCAAAGAAATGGATATTTTATTTTTGAATTTAACTCAGTGATGTCGCTAATCTATGTGAACATTGTAGAGTGACATAAATGTCTTCTTTAGAGTATCCAGATGGAAATTGTGGCACAATGCTTTTGTATTTCAGTGACTTCAGAAAGAAGGTAGGCCTTTAGGAGAGTATCTGGGGAACCTTTCAATAGGGTAATTGTGGGGATAGCAAATTAAGTACAGTCGTGTGTTGCCAACAACAGGGATATATTCTGAGAAATGTGTAGTTAGGTGATTTAGTCATTGTGTGAACATGATAGTGTGTATTTACCACAAACTGAGATGGTATAGCTACCTATCACACACCTAGGCTATATGGTTATATATAGCATAGCCTATTAGTCCCAGGCTACGAAAGTATACAGCATGTTACTGTACTGAATACTGTAAGCAGTTGTAACACAATAGTATTTGTGTATCTAAACATAGAAAAAGTACAGTAAAAATAGAGTGTAAAAGAAAAAAGGTATAATTTTTTTAGCTTAATCTGTTCTTTTAAAAATTATATTTCAATAAGTTTTTGGGGAAGAGGTATTGTTTGGTTACATGAATAAGTTCTTTAGTAGTGATTTCTGAGTTTTTGGTGTACCCATTACCTGAGCAGTGTACACTGTACCCAATGTATAATCTTTTATCCCTCACCCCCATCCCACCCAAATATGGTATACTTGTTTAGGGCAGTTAGCTTGCAGGACTGAAAGTTGCTCTAAGTGAGTGAGTGGTGAGTGAATGTGAAGTCCTGGGACATTACTATATGACTTTATAACCACTGCACTTAGGCTACACTAAAGTTGTAAAAAAGTTAAGTGATTGTGCTATGACATTATGACAGCTACAGCATCATTAGGCAGTAGGAATTTTTCAGCTTCGTTATGACATTATGGAACCACTGTTGCATATATGGCCTGTTATTAATTGAAATGTTGTGTGGCACATGATTGTAGTGGGCATGCTATTCTGGAGTTTATTTTCTTTGTGGAATTTGCCATCTAATAGCAGAGATAAGTATAAAACATTTTCTTTTAGTAGAAAGTTAAGTTAGAAGGAGTATACTTTGTTCTTTTGGTTTGAGTGCCATTTAGACTTGAGTGAAGAAGAAAAATAGTTGGTAGAATTCGCATAGTTCTCAGGTTTCAGATTCATAGTCTGAGTTTCCTGATTTGTCACTAAATTTGTTTCTCATCCAAACATTTTTAATTTACCTCATCTGTAAAACTATGTAGATTGCAAATTTTTATAATGTAGCTAATTACTTTTATAAAAGAGAATATTTAAAACAAATTGTGCATGATAGAGGAATTTGTATCTTGAAGTTTCTTGTGCTTTAAGTAGGAGATGAACCAGAAGTATGAATTAAATTGTTGGAGAGTTTTTTGATTTTTCTTTTTGCTTGATAAACAGGAAATTCTGGATATGTGATAGTAAATGTTTGAGGCTCCTCTAAGGAAGTGCTCCATCAATTTTCTGTCCTTGCTATTTTGGAGGGGAAATTTTTCATTTTGAGGACATAATTTCTATGATATGATAAATACTAAGAATTTTTCAAAAAATAAGGCAAATATGATAGCAATGAGTCCAGATTGCAGTGGGAAAGAAATATAGGAATAAGAAATACTTCTGTAACAGCTCTGGAAAACAGGAAAAGATGAAATCATAAACCAGAAAATTTTGAGGCTTTCTAGAAAGATGTAAGGCTGACAAGATTAGATTCCTGAAAACCATTAGTATTGAACAGCTTGTACTACACATAGGGGAAAGTATCTGGTTTCTGAGTAGAAAAGTAGACTTGCTTACAAATTCACCTAGCTTAGAGATGTCAGGGCTAGGGCAGAGAAATGGCTCTGTGAGCAGTATCAAGGTAATTAGAAGACTCTGGAATTGATGAGTCTTGAAGAAAAATCTGTCTGTTCCTCTCTCTTCTTTACCACACTAAGAGCAGAGTCTGCTCACAAAATCCAATAGCCTTCCATTATGGGGTTGATGGAGATGGGGGAGACTCTTGAGGGAAGTAAAGCAGTGATTTTCACCAGCCATCAGTACAGAACAATCCGGATTTAAAAAGATGAAGACAATGAGGAAACACTGGATATTAGAGGAAAAATTAACAGTGTAAAAGAAAGGACTGGTACTGAAACAAGCAAAGCAAATAGCTCAGAGATAATAGTTTATATAGAAAATAAGAAACTGAACTTTTTAGTATTGGGAAGATACAGTATTGAGAAAGGAACCATGAACAAAAAATTCTTGACAATTAAAAATATGATTGCCAAGAAGTCAAAAAATAGAGAAGGTTGTAGAATCCAGAGTACTAAGTTGATTCCACAGCTGCTCTCTGAACATTTGTTGACCTAGAGGCTTGCAGTTAAAGGTCACATGGATTTTAGGAGAGAGATCTTTGGGCCTTCAATCATTAGATTGAAGAGTTAGAACCCTGCAGTGGAAAAAACACACTCAAAGTGCTTTTTCCTATGTTCATACTCACCAATTAACACAGAAGACTCCTGTGACCTCAAAATATGTAGGATTTCTTCCCACCAGTGAGTGAGCAGTCAGTTCTGCAGACACCAGCTAGTGTCCTCCAATTCAATTCTTTTCTTCTTTTTGAGACAGAGTCTCACGCTGTCGCCCGGGCTAGAGTACAGTGGTGCGATCTCAGCTCACTGCAACCTGCAACCTCCGCCTCCTGGGTTTAAGCTATTCTGCCTTAGCTTCAGTAGCTGGGAATACAAGTACGTGCCATCATGTCCAGTTAATTTTTGTATTTTTAGTAGAGATGGGGTTTCACCGTGTTGGCCAGACTGGTCTTGAACTCCTGACCTCAAGTGATCTGCCCGCCTTGGCCTCCCAAAGTGTTGAGATTATACGTGTGCGCCACCGCGTGTGGCTCCTCCAATTCAGTTCTCACACTATCTACCTGAAGACAGCATCAAAGCCCAGAAGTTGAGGGTTCAGTCTCACAAAACTGCCCATTACTCCTGATACCAGTTGCAAACCCAGGTGGTGGGTTTTTTTTTTTTTTTATTGAGACATGATCTTGCTCTGTCACCCAGGCTGGAGTGCAGTGGTGTGAACACAGCTCACCACAGCCTCGACCTTCTGAGCTCATATGAGCCTCCTGCTTCAGTCTCCCAAGTAGCTGGGACTGCAGGTTCACATCACCATGCCTGGCTAATTTTTAAATTTTTTTGTAGAGATGGGGTCTTACTATGTTGCCTGGGCTGGTCTCAAACTCTTGGGCTCAAGCAGTCCTCCCACCTTGGCCTTCCAAAGTGCTGGGATTACAGGTGAGAGCCACTGCTTCTGGCTCCCCTGGGTTGTTTTACCTGTGCTTCTGACGGACCAACTATAAATCAGGGATCTCACACCCTTTCCTTGGTTTCAGTTAAGCTGCTGAAGTGGCTTACAGAACACAGGGATACACATTTACCAGTTTATTATAAAGGACATTACAAAGGATATAGCTAAAGAGATGGATAGGGCAAGGTATAGGAAGGGGCATAGAGCTTCTCTGCCTTCTCTGAGTGTGCCACCCTAGAGGAACCTTTATGTGTTCAGCTATCTGGAAGCTCTCAGAAGCCTGTCCTATTGCTACTTTTATGGAGACTTCATTGGATAGGTGTGATTGAAGAACTGTGTAGAAATGTGATTGGACAAAAAGGTTATGAGCTAATACTTATAGACTGAGTGGGAAAACCTAGAAAGGCCGGTTCAGATTCTTAGCCTCTCTGTGCACTGTTAATTTCTCCAGGGTATGGGAGAACCTCTTCTGAAATGGGTGTCTTATTACCTGCAGTCAGACAACGTAGGTCAGAGAATTTCTTTATGGGCAGCTTCAAGATGGAAAGGCAGGGGAAAATTCCTGCCTTGGGGAGAAAAAGGATCATGTGAAAGGAGGGAAAGAGAAGGTCAGAGACATTACCTTCTGAGGCCTACTTCTGAAGGCCAATGTATAACAAGGACTGTCAGTGTTATGAACCAGGATCCATGGGCGAAAACCTGTGTCATCTATCTTTCACACCTGCATAAAGCCAGGATTCTTCACGATAAGGCTTCAGTGAAAGGGAGCCTAGAAAATTAAATTTACTTTCCACGAGAAAGACACTGTGTCCTGAATTGGTGGGTTCTTGGTCTCACTGACTTCAAGAATGAAGCCACAGACCCTCGCGGTGAGTGTTACAGTTCTTAAAGGCAGTGTGTCCAGAGTTTGTTCCTTCTGATGTTCGCATGTGTTCAGAGTTTTTTCCTTCTGGTGGGTTCGTGGTCTCACTGGCTCAGGAGTGAAGCTGCAGACTTTCGCGGTGAGTGTTACAGCTCTTAAGGCGGTGCGTGTGGAGTTGTTTGTTCCTCCTGGTGGGTTCGTGGTCTCGCTGGCTTCAGGAGTGGAGCTGCAGACCTTCGCGGTGAGTGTTACAGCTTATAAAGGCAGTGTGGACCCAAAGAGAGAGCAGCAGCAAGATTTATTGCAAAGAGCGAAAGAACAAAGCTTCCACAGTGTGGAAGGGGACCTGAGCGGGTTGCCACTGCTGGCGTGGCAGCCTGCTTTTATTCTCTTATTTGGCCCCACCCACATCCTGCTGATTGGTTGGTCCATTTTACAGAGAGCTGATTGGTGTGTTTTACAGAGAGCTGATTGGTCCGTTTTGACAGGGTGCTGATTGGTGTGTTTACAATCCCTGAGCTAGACCCAAAAGTTCTCCACGTCCCCACTAGATTAGCTAGATACAGAGTGTTGACTGGTGTATTTACAAACCCTGAGCTAGATACAGAGTGCTGATTGGTGTGTTTACAATCCCTTAGCTAGACATAAAGATTCTTCAAGTCACCACCAGACTCAGGAGCCCCGCTGGCTTCACCCAGTGGATCCCGCACTGGGGCTGCAGGTGGAGCTGCCTGCCACTTCTGTGCTGTGTGCTTGCACTCCTCAGCCCTTGGGCGGTCGATGGGACTGGGTGCCGTAGAGCAGGGAGTGGCGCTCGGGGAGGCTCGGGCCACGCAGGAGCCCATGGCAGTGGAGGGGAGGCTCAGGCATGGTGGGCTGCAGGTCCCAAGCCCTGCCCCACAGGGAGGCAGCTAAGGCCCGGCGAGAAATTGAGCACAGCAGCTGGTGGCCCAGGTGCTAAGCCCTTCACTGCCTGGGGCTTGCGGGCCGGCTTGCCGCTCCGAGTGCGGGGCCCGAGGAGCCCACGCCCACCTGGAACTTCGGCTGGCCTGCAAGCGCTGCACGTAGCCCCGGTTCCCGCCTGCGCCTCTCCCTCCACACCTCCCTGCAAGCTGAGGGAGCCGGCTCCGGCCTTGGCCAGCCCAGAAAGGGGCTCCCACAGTGCAGCGGTGGGCTGAAGGGCCCCTCAAGCGCAGCCAGAGTGGGCACCAACGTCGAGGAGGCGCCGAGAGCAAGCGAGGGCTGCCAGGGCTGCCAGCATGCTGTCACCTTTCAACATCAGAGACGTTTTCTTCTCTTGGGCTTTTGGTGTGGGACTGAAAAGTTTCCACTAAAAACTTGTGACCATTAGCCTGCCTTCATAAGGGTATGGGATTGTAATTTATACTACCTGCATAGTTTAGGAAACTGCAGACAGAAAATTATTTAAAAGCAATCAAATAAATGTTGGCAGTGCTACAAAGTACCTAACAGAAAAGTGAATTATCTTCAGAGGGATGCTCCTTCAGGTATGCCCATTGATAGAGTCTAAATGAAGTGCTTTCATATTAAAAAAATATGAGAAACTCAGCAATCATGAGCAACAGTGAGCAGGAAAGACAAATAGCAGAATTAGACCCCTGTGAATGTCAGATATTGAAATTACTAGGTAAGACAATGGAGTATAAATGAATAAAATGTTTCAAAAGAATTAAAAGGGAGGGGGGAATTAAAAACATGAGCAGGGAGCAAAATACTGTTAAGAAATACCAGGTAGATCTGAAAAAGAATCTAAAGCAGTTGTAGAAATTAAAGATATAATAATGACCTTGAAAAATATTAAATGGGTTAAGTAGATTGAACTCAGCTGAACAGAGAATTAATTAACTTGAAGACAGATTTGAAGAAAGCCCAGATACGGAAACATGAAGATGTTTAGAGTCAGAAGAATAAACGTCTAATGTGTATGAAATTGAAATTTCAGAAAAGGATAATGAAAAGACTCACAGTTGGTGTCCAAAGAAAGAATGAGAAATTCCCAAAATTAAAGTGTGAATCATTAAACTGAAGAAGTACGATTAATGCAGAGGAAAAAAAGTAACTGGATAATACTGAAAACTAAGAGAACCTTTTTTAGCAGCCAGAAACAGATTATCTACAAAGCTATAGAAATTAGACTGGCAGCAGACCTCTAAACTATAACAATGAATGGTAGAGATCATAGAGCTAGGTTTTCAAATGCTAAGAAAAACAAATGTCATCCTAGGGAGAGTAACTGGCAGAATCATTCAGAAACAAGGATTTTGAAATAGATTTTTCAGACAGCATCAGATTGATAAAAATCTGACAGTATTGTGTTGGTGAGTATGTGGAACAATGGGAACTCTTAGACAGCTGGTAGAATTATAAACAACTGCTTTTGAGAGTAATTCAGTAATGTCTAGTAAGTTTCAGTATGCCTTTCTCCAGTAACCCAGGAATTCTACCTATGCATACATATATATCTTAGCATTGTTTATTGATCTCTTTTGACCATGATATAACTGAGATCAAATTTTCGGGAAACAAAATTTATCCTTCCTACAGGCAGTACATTGTGATCTGTCTCTGTACGTCATCACTTTGTTCATCTTCCTTTTTCCCCTTTACTCCCAAGCATTCTCTTTTATTTATTTATTTATTTATTTATTTATTTATTTATTTATTAAGCTGTTTGTGATCCTGGCTCACTAATGTGATATTATTGATGGGTTACAAACTGCAGTTTGAAAAACACTGCCTTAAAGAAACAAACAGAATAAGGATAGGGATATTCATAGCAATATTGTGTGTGAGAGTGAAAAACTTGAAGTCATCTTAAGCTCTAACAAATGGAAAATGGGTAAATAAACTGTGGTATATCTATCTAAGGATCTTGAACTAGACATCATAATAAATCATTGAATTACAATGCCTATATTAAATGAATACCCTTACAAATATAGAGTATAGAAAACAAATTACAGATGAGTATATAATGTGATACTCACATGAAGCTTAAAAAATGCAAAGCAATGGTATATATAGTTTTATGAGTATATACATATATAAAAACAAAGAAATCCATGGAAATGGGCTGGGCGCGGTGGCTCATGCCTGTAATCCTAGCACTTTGGGAGGCCGAGGTAGGCGGATCACAAGGTCAGGAGTTCGAGACCAGTCTGACCAGCATGGTGAAACTCCGTCTCTACTAAAAAAACCCAAATATACAAAAATTAGCCGGGCATGGTGGCATGTGCCTGTAATCCTAGCTATTTGGGAGGCTGAGTCAGGAGAATTGCTTGAACCTGAGAGGTGGAGGTTGCAGTGAGCCGAGATTGCGCCACTGCACTCCAGCCTGAGCAACAGAGCGAGACTCCGTCTCAAAAAAAAAAAAAAAAAAAAATCCATGGAAATGATAAACACCAAACTTAGGTTATTCCTGGGAGTGAAAAAGAAAGGTATTTCTGTTATCCAGATAATTTTTTTTTCCTTAAGCTGGGTAGTGGACATAAAGGTATTTATTAAATAATATCTTGTACTCATGTGTATATCTAAAATATTTGACAGTAAATTTGTTTGAAATGGAGGTGGCAGTATTGACAAATTGAAATTTCTCAGAAAGTACAGCAGAAAGAGTTGAACATTATGAGAGAAAAGTTTGAGACCTGTATAATAGATGTGGGATATCAGTATGTGTGAAATAGGAATTCCAGAAATAAAAAATACAGTGCATGTAGCAGAAGCAGTAGATAGTAAAATGGTAGAATAAATTTGTTCTGAGCTGAAAAAAGCTTTAAAATAAAACCTATGAAATCAAGTTTTTGGTAAAATCAAATATTTATAAAACTTCAAAATTTCAAGTATCAAAAGAAAATGAAGTTCCCAGATAAACAGCAGGCGTACCCCTAACAAAGAATCTGATTGGCATTTGATTTTTTTTTCTTTTAATGCTGCACTGGATACTAAGGAAGAGTAGAAACATTCCTATAGAATTCTGAGGTAGAAGTATTGTTAACGAACACCATGGATTTTCATCTAGGTCCTGCTGCTCACTGCACAGAAAGCCAGTCAGAGATAATGATTATTGCCAAAGAAGAAGGCTTTAATCTCATGCTGCAGCTGAGGAGATGGAAGATCAGACTCAGATCCATCTCCCTGATGGACTGAAACTAGAGGTTTATATAGCAGGGAAGAAATGTAACAATATGCAAGAAAACAGTAACTAGAGGGGCAAGGAAGCAATCATGATGAATGAGGAGTCCGCTCTCTATCTCATTGTCTGGTTGTTGGGATCTGGTGAGTTTCAGTTATTTGATAGTTTTTTTGGGAGGCCTGAAAGTCATTTCCTTAGGAAGGAACTCAGATAAAACAAAAATGAGTTTCAAGCTTTAAGACCAGAAGGATCAATTTCTATGTTTATTAAAAAAGACATAAAAACCCAAAAAACTATCTATGGGACTATTGGGTCAGTTTCAGTATTACGACCCTAAAGTTCTATGTGCAATAAAACTATTCCTTCACGATAAAGGCAAAATATATTCTTTCCGAAGGACTGTGAGCCTATAATAATTACATATTTAAATAAATAAATATAGTATTTGGGAGTACTTAAGCAAAATGAAATGAATTGGAATGGAGAATTTTCTGGACCAAAAAAAGAAAGGTTTATGTTAAACATTTGTGAACAAAAACAAACCAAAACCCAGTCAGTGACATTTAAGGTTAAATACAAAGAATTACTAATAATGTACTTTGAAGTGTAATATAATTTTTGAGAAAATATTCCTGATATAATGAATGGAACTTAGGAAAGAAATGACAGCTGAGAAATAAAATTCTAGGTGACTTAATACAAGCTGTCCTACAGCAAGTGGGAGTGGAGCAAGGAGGGGAAAGTAAAAGAATACTGTCTATTCATGGTATACTATGCAAAGAGCTTCTATGCACAGGAATGGATGGATATTTTATACTTCTTGATGTTTATGACAAAATACAGGCTGAAATACGTGTTGAAAATTTGAGGAGACTTTTAAAAGAAGGCCAACAATCAACTCACCCAAACTTCCTCAAACCTGTTTGACAGAACTAAAAATATATTTAATAAAAAAAAAAAAAAACAAAAAAACAAAAAAGCCTATAACAGCATTAGGTATTAAGAAGGGTGACATTGGTGCAGCAAACTTGGGGGAATTCCCTGATGATAGAAAGTAGATGGACTGAGAGGGGCAGAAGAACAAGAACAGAGAAAACCGCAACTGAAAGTGAAAAGCTCCTGAGGTTCAGTGGACCTCAAGGAACTCTATTTGTGTTACCAGTTTGAAAGAACTGGAGTGGAGGGGAGGTGGTGATGTGATAATCAGAGTAATTAATTAAAAAACTGCCTCTAGGCTGGGCGAGGTGGCTCACGCTTATAATCCCAGCACTTTGGGAGGCCGAGGTGGACAGATCACCTGAGGTCAGGAGTTCAAGACCAGCCTGGCCAACGTGGTGAAACCCTGTCTCTACTAAAAAAAAAAAAAAAAATACAAAAATTACGTGGGCTTGGTGGCGGGCACCTGTAATCCCAGCTACTAAGGAGGCTGAGGCAGGAAAATCGCTTGAACCCAGGAGGCAGAGGTTACAGTGAGCCGAGACTGTGCCATTATTGTACTCCAGCCTGGGTGACAAGAACAAGACTGTCTCAAAAACAAAACAAAACAACTAAACTAAACAAACAAAAAACAAAAACAAGGCTGGTGCGGTGGCTCACGCCTGTAATCCCAGCTCTTTGGGAGGCCGAGGCAGGCAGATCACCTGAGTTCAGGAGTTTGAGTCCAGCCTGGCCAACACTGCAAAACTCTGTCTCTACTAAAAATACAAAAATTAGCTGGGCGTGGTGGCAGGTCCCTATAATCCCAGCTACTCAGGAGGCAGAGGCAGGAGAATCGCTTCAACCCGGGAGGCACGGAGGTTGCAGTGAGCCGAGATCGCACCATTGCACTCCAGCCTGGGCAACAAGAGTGAAACTCCCATCTCAAAAAAAAAAAAAAAAAGCTCCAAACTGCCTGTAGTAGCTGGATACTTCCCTTCCTCGCTTCCTCATTCATACTGAATGATCAGCAGCAGGGTATTTTTCTCAAGGATAGAGTCATGGCTTCTATTCTGCATATGATGATTCTGGAGAAGGCTTCTGGTTGGGATTGGAAAGAGCCTGAGAACTCTATCAAGAACTCATATGGGAAGAAGGAAAGGAAAGATGGCTCTGTATGTGTGTAATACATGAAACACTCTATCCCAAAAGTAAAGCCTTCCTTATTTTGGCAGTCTTGGGGGTTCCAGCCTATAATCTGCTTTGCAAGCACACACACTAAAACATGCTGCTTGATATGTTTTGCCCGCATTGAGCCTGAAATCTGCTCTCCCATTCAGGGAAGATGGCTTCAGAGACGGACAGACGTGTAGATCTATAGGAGAAACCCAGGCCAGTTAGATAGTTCTGGAACACTATTCACAAATTTGGCCAAGGAGCACCAGAAAACCAACAGTGCAAAACAGAAAGTGAACGAAGGAAAAAACTGACCCCTGGAAAGTGGGAATGGTGCAACAAATACATAGAACTTAAATATAATAACCTCAGAGAGATTTCAGAGGGCAAGGTAGCTAAAAATTCAAATCAGGCCATTGTGAAAGAAGCAATAGGTGAAGTTCTCAGAAACGAAAAATCTGATTGTTAAAGAATAATCAAAGGAAGGACTGAAAATTGAAACAGTGATTTAGAAATAAAGTTGAAGAAACATACTGGAAGCTAAAGATAAAAAGATGGAGATAAAAAATATGAACAAGTGTTTAAGTGACATGGGGCACGGAACCAGGTCTTCAGAGGAGACAGGAGGAGGGGAGAAAAGACGTAACTAAGTACAATACCTAATGCCGTGGCGTATTAGATAAATATTTAAAAAGATGAGTGAGATTGAAATATACTTGTGAAAAGATGGTCAAGATATATTAAGTGAAGAAGGAAGTTGTGAGAACAGTATGCATAGTATGGTATTTGTGGTTAAAATCTATATGCATGTTCAAATGTGTACAAGAAAGAGTGAAAGGATATGAAACACTAATAATGGTTACCTTTTGAGGAAAGGATGGAGGAATGAGAGAGGAATTCTTTTAAAATACATAATGTTGTTTTGAAAGGAACATTTTTATTTAAAAAATGAAAGAACTACAAGTTACATTGGAGAGGAAGGGAGGAGAGCAACATGAGGGTAGAAGTGGTTACCTAAATAAGCCATTTAAATTTACACATAATCTCCAACCTATACTTTTCTTTATAACATGTACTTTTCTGTTACTTCTTAGCAGTTGTCTCCTTCCCCTATTATTCCTGGACGTTTACAGAAGTATATTTTCACACACTTCTCTGAACCTTCCCTTTTACCCAAAGTATGGTGGGGGTGAGGGTGTGACTGATAATTTCCTTATTGCACATAGATTTTGTGAGAGATGATATAGATGGGGAGAATCACGTAAAGTAAGGATATCTTTAAATTCTAGGTATTGGTTTACTAATAATAGTATCAACCCATCATCTTTTTTGGAATGAGTCAGCATATAAATAAAATAATGAATGGTAAAGAGAAAAAACAAAGAGAATTATAAATTCAAAAGGTATATCCTGGTGGGTATTTTTGAGTTGAGATTAGGAATTGATTAGTATCAGAATAGTAACATGTAAGTATAATCACAGAGGTTTGTAGTGGTATTCTGGACCACTTGAAAGGCCCATCCTTTTTGTGAGGAGATGGATATGATCCTTGGTTTCAATATGCCACATCTACTATAAACTTCTGAACCCTCCACCATCATTCAGGATGCATCTCTCATGGTTGAAGAAGTGGTGGAGGATGGCATGGGAAAGAGTGCCTGAGGATCCTTGCCTGGAACAAGTTATGGAAAGAAAGTCTTACAGGTATTCTTCTTACATATTTTACTTGATTGCTATGTTTTTATGGGACAAAATAGTTCTCTTTCTTGGAAGAGTGGGTTGGGAGGGGGAGAGAAGAGGAAGATGGGTGTGTTGGGGTAGAGCAGTGGCCTTCTTTTCCAAGGGTGGTAGAGAAATTAGGAAAGAATATTAGTGTCTTTCTGTCTTTTTTCTTTTTCTGTTCCCGTACAACTTTTCTGTCATCTTCATAACTAAGTTGTATCAGAGTTTTCGAATTGCAGACTCATTTACATGATAATATGATTCATCAGGAACATTTAGGTACACAGCATGCTGACATAATAGTATTAGCTATCAATAACTCTTAGAAACCAATGGGAAATGTTTAGATCTGTGAATTGTACTAAATTTTAAATATTTTGAATATTTTTAATACAAATCTTATTTGTAACTAACTTGTTGATGATCTCTTCTTTGGTTATGTTAATTGGCTATTTAACCATTTCACACTCTGATTTATTTCTCAGGCATGAAGATGTTAACAATGCTGTGCGTTTTAATTAAGTAGTTAATTAACTGGAGCTCCCTAAGTCTTAAGTTCCTGATTTTTCTCTAGAATACCAGAAACTTAAGTGCCAAGAGCTCAGAGAATGGCTTCCAGGACAGCTCTAGCCTCACTGCAGCTTAAAAAATTGCAAACAGATTTTTTTTTTTGCAAACCATATGTCAGGGAATTTCTCAGAGGTTTTCTAAGAAATTCTTTTATTTGAAGTTTTAGAAACACTATCTTCAGTTGTATTGCTGATAATTCATAATTCTGTTGTCCTTTTTAAATGATAATATAAAAAGTATGCATTAGTATGTGGGGAAGTTGTTTTTGAAAACTTACAGCAGTTGGAACTTACTCCTGTAACAACTCTGTTAAGTGGAAGTAAACAAAGATAAGTGAGCATAAAATTGGTCAAGGTAAAGTAAGTGAAATGAAACCATATAATAGTAGAGTTTTTTTTTTTCTTTTCTGTTTCAGTGAAAATAAGTAATGTTGCTCTTAAGAGAGAATTTTGTATTATTTTCTCCTCTTCTTTTTTTTTTTTTTTTCTAGCTTGGGCTCTAGGAAAAGAGCCTTTTATCCCACCTTGTCTTCCAGTCCATTTTGAATCAAGAAAGACTCATTGAAGACTCCTTTGAGAAAAGTCTGTTTTGAAGAAGGAAAAAGAAATACTGTTTGAGAGAAGGCAAACAGACAAAAAGGGTGATAGAAATATGTATTTTTGTTGTATATGTAACTCTAAGAGACCTTCCTAGAGTGAATGAAGGTAGAAAACTGAAAAGGGAGTAAATTAAGGAATGATTGAATTTTGTGGGTCTTGATGGAAAAACGCTGGTCTTCTTTTAATGTGGAAAAACAGCTAGTGCTTCAGTCCTAGGAATTATGTCTCTGCTGTGGGCAGTTGTCATAAACTCTTCTCACAATCCGAGCTGCTCTTTGTCCTCTGTGAATGAAGGTACTTTTGCTTCCATTTCATCCAAGGATGAATGAAAATGTATAGCATCTGCCCAAACCTAAAAAGTACAGTGTGTTTATCACGAGAGCTTTGTAAGGTACTTCACTTCCACTTTAAAATTCTTTAGTGCTCAAAACCAACTATTGTGGGTTTTTGTCAATAAATACTAATTTTTCAAGATGAAGTATGGTGATTTCTATTCATATTGTGGTCAATTTTCTCAATTTTGTTTCCCATAGATAGCGTGATGGAACTTAAATTTTATTTTTTACACTTAAATAACTGTGCTTTTTGTGATGCGTAATCATGATTTTCTCTTTTCCTTGAGATTTTAACAGACCTTATATTAGTGCATATGTCAAAATAAAAATTTTTAAATAGTAAATATGTTGTAATATTAAGGATATTGATTTTTTTCTATTAAATGTTGAGCTTGGTGTTGGTATAAACCCTGATCCTAAACGGTAAATTAATACTTGGAAATTAAGAGTGTAACTATGTTATATAGAAACCATCTTGCGAATTGGTTTGTGTGGGTGGTTTTTAAATTTAGTTTTTAATTTTTTTAGTATGTAATCGTACTCTTTCAGGATTATCTAAAGCACTTATTGTAATTGGTTGTTTACTTTTCTGCCTCCCCCACCACATTGAGTGGGGAAATAAAACCAAATGAGTATTTGGAATCTAGTATGATCCACCCAATAGTGAAAGCTACCAGGATGGGAATGATTCCTGGAGAATACTGGGGAAACTTGTAGAGTGTATGACAATTTAGCAAGATGTATAAGGATGAGGAGGAATTCCAAAAGCAGGTGGATGGGGGAGCTCCAAGAGGGGAGTTTCCAGCTGAGTGCAAGTTGTAGACCATTTACTGTAGCAACATCTTAGAGTAGAAGGCTGGATGGTAGAAGAGGAGCTGCAGAGATAAGCAGAGGTAGCTAGCACACAGTTATGAGAAGTTGGCTGGAGAATGAGATTTGGCAAGTGCTCCATGTAATGAAGATTTGTTTAAAGAAAAGATGTGATAGAAAAGGGCTGAGTTTTAAACTCCCCAAGTTTAAGAAGGTTTGAAGTTTTTAAACTTTAAAAGTGGCCAGGGAGGGAGCCAATAGAGTAAAAGTATAATGGTGAGGGTTATGCTGGATGCAAGAAATTAGTGTTTCACTAAAGAAGAATGTTCAGTTGTGTCAGATGTCACAGAGAGGTGTAGAAACATAAAAAGTGCAAGGAATCCTTCAGATTTGGTAAAGAATTGCCACTGGTAAATTTGTCCAGAACAATTTCAATGGGGCCAGAAAACTCTGGATTGTGAAGTACTCAGAGATGAGAACATGCAGGCAGTGATTTTATTTTAGAAGAATTATTTATCTGTCTTTGCCTTTCATTTAAAGGCACTTTCTCAAAGTTCAGGTTCCTGACTCTATGATATAATTATTTATAGACTGCCTTTCTGAAAATAGTTCTATATGGGTTAATTTTGTTAATATTAGTATGTTGACAAAAGAAAACATAAAGGTCGATATGATTATTTTCAAACTGAGAAGCTGCTGTACCAAAGCTAGTTTATAAAATTAGATTTTGTATTTATGGACTTACTCATCTACTATGTTACAGTAGTCTTTGTTTTGTGAAACTCCAAGGAAATATTTTCTACACATTTCAGGTTAAGAAAGAAAAACATGCGTTTATTTTGTCTTAAACATGAAATAATGTTTTAAGCATTCTAAAAAGTACTTACAAATGGATTAAACACATTGGCGTTCTTTATAGTTTTACTCTGGTTCTTTTTTTTGTGACTTGTTATTCATAGTCTTTGCAATGCCGCCCTCTAGTGATCGATTTCCAAAAATGCATTAATTAACTTGTAAGCCTGTTACAGTCTTTCTCTTTTGACTCTACTGATCCTTTGCCACAGCCTTTGTTTGGTGTTCTCTTTTATTGCTCTTCCATTAGTTATTCTTATTCTCCTTTAATGGCATTAGGGAAAGATCAGAAGTTTCAGGAGCAAAAAAAAAAAAAAAAAATACATATATATACACATTTGACTATGAATCCTTAAAACTTGTCCATTTACCAGTCTGGGCATAGGGCAAGTTACCTGTCCAGAGTTCTTACTGGGAATGAATGAGAATGTCTTTTTGTGGCACCTGACACAGACAGCAAAGAGCAGGCATTCAACATATACCAGCTGTCTCTTCCACCCTCTTCTCCCCAACATTGCTGAGAGTAGGGATCAGTACTGTTTTTTTTTTTTTTAAACCTGTCCCTTCTCCTCTTATATAACATCTCAATTTGTTGTAATTACCTGTTTACTTGTTTGTGTTCTATAACTTCTAGAGGTCAGGTATCATGTTTGGCTTGTACATATTTGTATCTGGTATTTAGCAGAGGCCAGTACACACAGGGTCCTCATTGGATATATATTTGTTGAATGAGTAAATGAATTAATGGATGCCAGTTTTTAATAAGAACCCCAGACTGTGTTACCGACATTTCTGTTGATTGATTGATTATGCAGATTGTAAATGGGTAATATATGATATAATTAGATTTTACCCATGACCTTTCATAGAGGTATTTATTTCATGACTTTTTCAGTTTATTCTATAGTTATTGGTCTTCTCAGGTTTTGGATAATATGATAATTTGTGTTTTCCTTAAGAATTGTCTGTTTTGTTCAGTTTAAAAAAATTATTAGCAAACACTTATGTATAGAATTTTCTTATGATATTTGACTTCCATATGTGACAAAACCCCCTTTATCATTACATTTATGTTATGTCTTGTGTTGTCTGTTTTTAGATTGTAATTAGATTGGAGGTATATATGTATTTTATTGTTTTTTTAAAGCAATGGCCCTTTGAATTTTATTCTTCTGCTTGCTAACTGAAAAAATAATTTTACCTGTTTTTTTTGTCTTCCAGGTTTTTCTAACAACTTAGTACTTCCATTTTTCTTTTTGTGCAAAAGCTTTTATTACTCTAAATTTGCTTCTAAATTACAGATTTGAGTAAATGCCATATAATAGAAGATGCTGTTTTTGTTATTTTCTAGATTTTCAATAAAATGTAGCTGCAATTTCCTCATTGATCTAAAAGTTACTTAAGAGGGTATTTAAAAATGATGAAATGTATGTGTTTACAATTGTTATTTTCCATTTTTAGTATAATATAATCAGAGAATAAGGAATGTACAGTTTCTGGTTTTTGAGAATTAAAATCTTTTTTGGTGATACATATAAGATCAGTATTTAAAATGTGCCCCAAGCACTGACAAAGAAGGTGAGTCCTCTGAAGGGTATACAGTTTTATATATTTATTCAGATCTCTTTTTTTTTTTATGTGCTTCAGCTATCATGTATTTATGATAATTTTATTAAAGTTTTGTATTACTGTTGTGTGTTTGTCATTTTTCTCATTGTTTTTTAACGTTTTATTGCTACATTATTTGATTCTTAGAAGTTTGTGATTGATATCTTCATAATATATTTTATTCTTCATCAATTAAAAATATTCAATCTTTTCATTAAACATTGCTTATCATGTGGATATCCAAATGGGAAAAACAATGAAACTTGATCCCTGCTTCCCACCATGCACATTTGATTGAAGATCTAAATGTGAAAAGTAAAATAAGCCCCTAGAGGACAGTATAAGAGAATATCTTACATCTTTCTATCAGACTGAAAGTATCAGTACTTTATAATCTTGAAGTAGGAAAATGTTTCTTAAACAGGACACACAACTCACAGGTATAAAAGGGAAGATTGATAACCTGGACTGTTGACAGTTCAAGAATTTCTGTCATCAAAAGTTACTGATAAGAGAAAAACAAAACAGTAACAGCAGATACTTGTAATATATATATCTGACAGATGGCTTATATCCATACTATGTAAACTCCTACATCAGTATAAAGGACAGACAACCCAATAGAATAAATGGGAAAGAGATTTGAGCAGTCAGTTCAAACTGTAAAGACATAATATTAACACTCAGCAGAATGGCTAAAATTAGAAAGATCGACAGTACCAAGTATTAGCAGAAAGTGGAGAGCGATGCACCTCTCTTTTTGCTGCTGGTGGGAAAATATAAATTGTAAAAATCACTTCTGAAAACTAGCAACACCTGCTAAAGCTGTGGGTATGTGTATACATACATATATCCAGCAACTTCGATAGGAATTCATGCAGATACCCACTAAAAGGCAAGCACAGTAACATTCAAAGTAGCATTATTTGTATTAGCCGAAACCTGGAAACAAAAATGGCCATCAGCAGTAAAATGGGTAAACAGATTATGGTAGATTTAATTCAGTGCTGTATAGTAATGCGTACAGCAATAAAAATGCATGAATTGCGGCCCCGTGCAACAACAAAGATAAATTACATGAACCGATGTTGATCAAAATAAACTAGACACAAATACTTACCGTGTATGATTCCCTATATAAAATTCAAAAGCAGGCAAAACTAGGAATTTAAAAACTATAAAATACAAAAGCAGGCAAAACTGGTTATTAGACCTCAGGTTAGTGGCTACTTTTATGGATGAGGAAGGGATAGGGATTGGGAAGTGGTATTGGGCTTCTAGGTATTAGTAGTGTTCCTTTTCTTGACTTGGGTGGTGGTTACATGGGTATACTGACCTTGAGATAATTCAGTGAGTTGTAAAATTTATGATTTGTGAGTTTTTCTGCATATATGTATGCTTCAATAAAACTCAAATTACGGTAAGCAAAAAATACTGCTTTAGTGTGAGGATATTATTATTAAATAATATTAAAATAACTAGAAATTCAGTGAAACTTAATCACGATTGTATTACCTATTGAAAATGTCAGTGAATAATACCCTCTGCTAATTGTTTGCCTATATGTTCTCACATTCAGTCCTACCTCTTCTCTGTCCTCTGTATGGCAGGGTACATTTAGAAAAATACAAAAAAAAAAATGAAACTTTTTTCTCTTATATTTTGGTTTTGTTTTTATTTTCATTTGTTGATTATATCTTTGCCCTCTTTTTTTAAAAAATTTTTCCTTATGGAGTTTTTTCCTATATTGAGAGTCTTTGACTCCTTTTTTCTTTGACTTTTACTAGAGGAGTTCTATTCATTTTTCTTTTTCTTTTTCTTTTTTCCTTTTACCTTTTTTTTTTTTTTTTGAGACAGAGTCTCGCTCTGTCACCAGGCTGGAGTGCAGTGGCGTGATCTCGGCTCACTGCAACCTCTGCCTCCCAGGTTCAAGCAATTCTTCTGCCTCAGCCTCCTGAGTAGCTGGGACTACAGGCATGTGCCACCACACCCAGCTAATTTTTGTATTTTTAGTAGAGACGAGGTTTCACAATGTTGGCCAGGATGGTCTCGATCTCTTGACCTCATGATCCGCCCATCTCAGCCTCCCAAAGTGCTGGGATTACAGGCTTGAGCCACTGCGTCTGGCCTGTTTTATTCATTTTCATTCATATTTTAACTGCTGGCTTATTCATTTAGTTTCTCATGCTTCATTGCTGTTATGCAAACTGTTTTCTTTCTACGTGTGTAGAGGGTTAACTTTAATTCTCCTGAAAACTATTTCTATGTTTTTCAAATATTTGAGCCTATATTTTTTGAATTAACACTATTAAAGATACATTAATTTCCCCAGTTTAAGGTGAAACAATTTAACTTCTCCCATTCTTTTTCCTCTCACCTCTGTCTTTTTAATGATGTAGTTCGTGATTCAGATTAAACTTTATTTTCAATTTTTTATTTTTGCATTTTGTTTAATCTCGAGTTAATTTCAGACATATGCTTTTTTGTAAACATATTTACAATCATTATTCACTCAAAAATTTATTGAGCACCTACTAAGCACCAGACACTGTCCTAGGCAAATAAGAATATAAGTGAAAAAGACAAGACCCCTGATCTCATCAACTTGTTGATGGTCAAAAATAGGTAAATAAGATGCTTTAAATTTTGAAGGGTAGTATGATGGGAATAAGTAGGGTGAAGTGATACAGAATGAATGACTGCAGTTCGGATTAAGGCTATGTTAGGTTGGTCAGAGAAGTCCTTTTTGAAGCAGCAATATATAAGCTGAGACTTGAATAAGATGGGACATGAAGCTGGGTGGAGTGGTTCAGGGAGAGGGGTTAGCCAATGCCCTGATGAGGTTTCATTTTTTGGAAGAACATTTATTCAATATTACTGATTGAATTTTGTCAGGCATTTGAGATAGTCATGAACGAAACAGGATTTTTGCTTTCAAAGTATTTACATTTTACGCAGAACAGATAAATAGATGAGCAAATAATTTCAGAATGTGATAAGTGCTATAAAGAAGATAAAATGCTAGAATGAGGAGAAGGGACCACTTTAGGTAGGATAATGAGGGATGCTTTTCTGAGGAGGTGACATTTGAATTAGTAACTTGGAAGTCAGTAATAGACCCAGACATGTGTAAATCTAGGGAACAGCATTTAGGGTAGCGTTTTAGTTGGGTTGGAACAAAGAGGGTGAAGATGGGTTGAATCTTTTCGACCCTTACGTGCTTATGATAAGCTTAGAACTTACTCTAAATATGGTGGAAAACTATAGGTTATGACTACAGATTCAATTACTATAGCAAAAGATC